>NC_000003.12:117644967-117947998 GCF_000001405.40 Homo sapiens
TTACTCCACCTACCCAACAGGGTAGCTTGAGGCACTTCATTATTGCCTAGTGAGAGTGGAAGTTTAGGCCTTCCACTCCCTTCAGTCTTTTCTGGCCAGGGTGAAGATTGGGCCACAGTATTTTCTGTGGTGTTTGGCTGAACTAGAATAGTTATTGGCTAAAAGTTTCCTGTTTTATGGTCTGCTCCTTTCCTGGTATTTTGGCTAGAGAGAGCCAACTTTTGCAGACACTTGTATATTTGTTGTTGTTGGTGGTGCTGCTGTTTGTTTCGTTTTTCTCTGTACCTGTTGGTGTTTTTTGTTTCGTTTTGTTTTATTTGTTTTGAGGGTGGAGTCTTGCTCTGTCAGGAGACAGAGGTGGATACAGACTCCACCCTGTACAGGGTGAGTACAGGGTGGAGTCTTGCACCGTAGCCCAGGCTGGAGTGTGGGTGGCGCGATCTTGGCTCACTGCAACCTCTGCCTCCTGGGTTCAAGCAATTCTCCTGCCTCAACCTCCCGAGTAGCTGGAATTACAGGTGTCCACCACCATGCCCACCTAATTTTTGTATTATTAGTAGAAGTGGGGTTTCACCATGTTGGCCAGGCTGGTCTTGAACTCCTGACCTCAGGTGATCCACCCACCTCAGCCTCCCAAAATGCTGAAATTACAAGCATGAGCCACCGTGCCCGGCCACCCGTTGGTATTTTTAAGTTGCTTTTAAGTTGCTGGCTTCTTCACCTACAAGTATGAGATGAATGATACAACAAACTAACAAACCCTGGGAACTCACCACTGTATCAGTCTTAAGGTTACTAACCTATCTGCCCTCCTCTCTACAACTTTCAGAGTCTTCTGTTTGTTGTACATGTAATGTCTAAGGTTTTTAGTTAAACTTAGTGGGAAAAAGAGGAAAAAGCACTCTATTTCATCTTCCCAGACATGGAAGTCTAAATTCTGGATTTTTAATTTATGCATTAAGTAATTAATCTTGGAATAGGTCCAATGTCTTCATCAAACTGACAAAGAAGTCTGTGGCACACAATAGGTGAAAGAGCCCTTCACTAGGCATCCTCTCAGAATGAGTCATCCAAGCCACTCTGCCTTTCATTCTGTCCTTAGAGCTGACGAAGCTGACCAGTTGTTTTCATAGTATTAAACCCATCCACTGTACTCTACCTGTGAGTTGAACACCAAATGCCCATCACAATTTCTCATCCAATTCTTCTACCTGTAAGCCAGGCTCTGTCTAAATCTATATTTTGTCTGACTATGGGTAATATTGTATATTTAGTTCCCACCTACATGAATATGGGCACCAATTATGACATAAATCAAAAGTTGGACTCAAAGTCAGTGTCCCAATCCTAGATCTTACTGAGATCACTATAACATGTTGGAAAATAAAATGTAAGTAAAAAAACTTTAGTTAGTCAAATGTATTTTTTTAATCATTTTCAAGATACTAGGGTAAAAACATTCATTCCTTCATTTTGAAATAGTCACTTGCAATGAAAATAAACATCGACATGATTCAAGCTTCAAAATCAACAACTGAATCAGTAAGTTACTCTCAACCTAAGAACATGAATTTCAGTTTGGGGAAAGAAGGGTAAGCCAGATGTTGCCTATCCAGGTAATTCCTTGCATCTTTCTGCAGGAATAGAAGTTCATCAAAGCCTCACAAAAGCCTCTTTCATGCATAAGTTCTCTTAGTGCTAGTTGCACTAGCAGTGCTAAGAAGGAGAAAGAAAAAAAAGAGAAATAATAAAAAGTAGGTGGATTAAAGTAGAGGTGAAACCTTTCTTGACCAGGATGAAGCCTGTCATGCTGACTAATATTCTTTAGCCCCTAAGTGGTCTTTGCTGTCAGCTGTGGCATTCTAAAGTATTGAAAACGAGGGTATTATTCACGGAATATATTTATTGATCTTCTCAAAATGTGGTGGGTATGAGATTTATGATTGAGAAATAGTATTAAGTAATTAATTTATTTACTTATACAAGTGCTGATCTTGGATTCCTTGTAAATTAAATTACCTACAAGGACAGAGTCATGAAAAGGACAACCATGCATCTCTGTGTAGTTAGTAAGAGTAACTGAGTCAGGAAATATTTTGGGCCTAACAACTGGCTCACCTGACTTGGCTGGATGGCCACTCCTTAGCCATGTATAATTTTTAATAATTTGTTAATCTATGGTTCAGATGAAGGTTTGTCCAAGTAAAAAAAAAAAGAATGTTGAAAATGGAAAAATACTAGGCAGATGTATAATTTTCCTCTATCCCACTCTTTCCCTGGGCATTGGAATTGTTTACATTGAGCAATTTGAGATACACTTAAGATTCAAGCAGTAACTTTCCCTGAACACAGGAAAAATATGGCTCCAATGTTTGACTACAGCTGCAATCTATGGATTTAAATAACAAAGAAACTTAAAATTTAAGGGTAGGACTAACCAAAGGAAAACATGACAAATTTCCAGTTACTTATTTTCCAGAGGGGAGGTTTTACTTATTCTTACAGTGCTTCTGGATACCAGCTGACTACAGGGGTACCTGCCCCGCCATCATGCAGTCATCATTACAGTAATTCCCACAACATCTTCAGGTTCAAGTGGCTGCAGGGTGAACGTGACTGGGCACAGATGGTCAGGGAAAAATGGAGTTGCTATGCAGATTAGCATATGAAAAAATTAGTGACCCACCCTCCTGAAGCCTGTGCCCAGCACTGCTCCCTCAGGCCTCCAGACTGGAGGACTGCAGAGGAAAGTATGTTCTTTCATATCCCTTTCCCCTCTTGGTCAGTATTGCACCTCCAAACAGCTAGGGGATAATGAGGTAAAAGCCAGAAGGACTGCTAAAAAGCATCACCAGAGAAAATGGTTTTGTGCAACAAATATGCACGAAATGGAATTACGGCCTTGTGTTCTCCAATCACACAAAAAAGGGGACACTTGTGGAATCTTTCCTTCTTTCTCTGTGTTTGACTGACAGAAGATATTGAAGTGGCTTGATGATGAAAGGAGTGCTTAAGACTCAAAATCATAACTTTTAGTTCATTTTCAGTTATATTCAAAACTAGAGCATTATGAAAGGTAATCTCTACAACATACTCCTTCAGCGAAAGAGAACAGGGGTGACAAAACACAGGGGTAGCACAGGGATTCCTTGCTCTATGCTTCGCAGGCAGAGCACCAACCATCTCTTTGTTCTTTCTGCCCATTTTTCAGGTGATTGGGAGGAAGGCCTGAGAGGAACACAGGTCTTCTCTGTGAGTGACTCTTTCCCACAGCCCCTCCTTTTATTAAAAGCTCTGTAAATTTTCTGCAAAGCAACCATCCTTTCTTTTTACTGGCTTCTAGATCTCACTTCAACAAACAGTGAAGAAGGAGTGTGGTAGAGGAGAGAAGAAAACAAAAGGATGACAGAGCTAAGAAGGACAGAAATGAAAAGAGCATTCGTTCAGTCTGTTCTCTCATTATCGTACCTCGGAACCTTGGAAGATTCTTTTTTGAGAATTCTTTTCATTATGATGCTAGGAAAATGATAGACTGGAAAAGCCAGAAATTCTGAAATTCTATAAAACATGATCTCATCAATAATGTATACCTTCCCTACAACTTGCAGAAAATAACATATTAAAATGTCCAATTTTAAAGAGGAAACAAGGCTGTGTGCTGTAATATTTTTCATCCAATATCAATGCTCTTGCGCATACATAATGTGTTCCAGTGATTTCTACAGTTTCTCCCCTGACTGGCTCCCTGACTTGGATACGTATTCCTCTGTTAGAAGAGAGGAGCCCTGGGCTCTCAGTCTAACACAAAACATGCTGGGGGTTCGGGGTGGGGTTCACAGGATATCATTATTTGTAGTTTGGATATCCTCCAAGTACTTTCTTTAAGCTACCTTGGGGCTGCTCCTCCCCGTCATTTTTTCATGCTCCATTGTATAGTCAAGGTGTTGGCTTCACATTGCTCATCTGCAGTACTAAAACAGGCTCTCCACTTGCTCTGAAATATAAGACTGGTTATGGAAAAGAGATTACAAAAAGCTAAAGGATTCAGGTAGGTTTCATACTATTCCAGCTCAAGGGAAATGTTAATGTGTCTTGATGGGACATCATTAAGTCTTTATGATAGCATAAAAGCAAAGTAGGACTGGTAAGTGAGACATAATATCCTTCGGATCAGATTTGGAAAGCTGGTCTTCAGGAACTCTAGTATTTCAGCTGGAAAATGTGCACATACAGGATCATTGATCATTCTTGTGTGTTTCACTATTCCTCCAAAATATTAAGAAAAAAACCCTATTATAAAGAATAATTTAATAATACGCTTCTTCTTTAGCTGTCTGAAAAAATACAATTAATATAGTCTTAAACATACTTATTGACATCAAATTACATTATATAAGAAATCTAAGATAGGTACAAATGACTTTCAGACTTAAGGAATATTGGCGCAAAAGAACACCAGATACTATCTAATCCAGTGGTTTCGAACAGATTTTTGAAGAACCTTGGAACTATATTGAAGTGCCTCAGAGGCTCTGGGATAAGGGCAGGAAAGAGGTAGGTAGATACCAAATAAACAGAGTCTGAATGCTTTAGTTTGCTTCAACTGGAGGTTTCGTTTGTATCTGTTTTATACTGTCTCATAGTATGACATTAAAAAAATTATATACATACTGATTGAAACTATCTCCTCTTTATTTTAAAAAATATCACCTTTTTGCCTTTTGAAAAAGATTAAGTAAAATATAATAATATTGTAAAAAATCATATATAAAATGTGTATTTTAAAATAATAAAAGTAACATAAATCATATATCTTTTGTAATTGAGGGGTTATTTTTTGGTAACAGTTATATTACTTATATGTATCACTAAATACTACAGACTCCCCACGCTGCCAGACTTTTATGTCATAATTTTTCTCAACTTAAGATTGCATTATCATATCTACTAAATTAACATCCTAAATTACTTAAAATAAATATGCATGGATGTGCATCTGTGTATTGGCCATGCAAATTAGCCCATGCAAATATGCTTATAGATTAAAACGAATCAGGGTATAGAACTAAATCAAATCGGTTGGTCAATTTAAATTTTAATAAATCCTGCTACTCATGTACATTTAGGTTAAATGTTCATTGTGATTTGTGAGAACTTTGCACCTCATAAGGCTTCAGATACCCTGAGCTGTGGGAGCAGCCTGTGAGGGGCAATATTAAACGCATTGCTGACGGAGTCACTAAAAAAGCTAATATGAAGATGATGTTGTAAAAAGGAAACAAGAAGAAAATAAACATGTTCATGGAAAAGCAAGTTAAAAATTGTGCTATGATGCAAGCTGTTGAAAACAAATTAGATGTACACTGTACTTGCAACCCAGCAGTTGATCAACTGACCAGTTCAGGCTTCAGAGAACAATTATGAATGAAATTATAAGTAATTACATAGGTGGAAGGATATTTCAGAATCAAAGGATAATAGATGCAAGAGCTGAAAGTGATACAGGTAATTATAAGTAGTATTTAAAACCCAAATGCCTACAAAGGCATTTATAACCTGATTCCATGAAATGGCTTGGGTGGAAAGACCACTGAGCAGGATGATTATGATAAAGTGTAAACAGTCTAGACAGGCTAAAAGGGACAACTTTCATCAGGTTGAGCCCACTGCAATCATTCAGAAACTATGTTACTAGTGATTGAATTTATCAAGAAAATTTAAATACAAATCCCCTCATATTTTTAGCTGGGTACTTAATGAACAAAATAGAACAAAACTCTAAGGACTAAATAAAACATGTATGTGACTTGCAATCATTGACACATATGCTCTCAGAGTTTATTGTTGAGCGAACTGAGTTGCAGAGAGGTCAGCAGTACCCAGAGGCTCCTGAGTGGTCATTCACAGCTTCGTTTTCAGATCTTCTCATCTCTAAACAACTTGGAAACAATGAAGGGGAAAAAACCTTCCCTCTGTCCCACTTCTCATATTATCTCTTTATTGCTGGAGGCTTAAGTGATTGTCAATTGTGAAGGCTGGCTCCTCAGTTTCAGCCTAATGACATTTTGGGCAGCTCAGTGGTGGCCCTGCCACAAATGAGCCACTGCCTTTGCCCTTTTCAACTTTTGCTTATTCCCCTTCTTTTGATGGCTGTAACATCAGCACTCTTCTTGGGCCAGGACTAATCCATCAAGACCTTGAGGGGCAAGAGGTTACTTCTCCCTGCCAACTCCTTCTCCTACACAAAATTCCAGAAAAATCATGCCCTCCCACCTACTAAAAAAGCTACAAGTTATTTTAAAGGTTTAGGTCAGAACATATTCCAATGGCATTAATTTTTCATTTCTCCTTCATGTGCCCAGTTTTGAAATTGTTCCACTTTAAAAATATTTTTATTTTGCTATTTTGGTTTCTACTTTTTGGCCGACATTCATTTCTGTCAAGAGGAAAGAAGCAGAGAAGCAGTATTGTACGTGTCAGATGGAAGGAATCTGCTAAGTGTCATTGAAATAAAAGACAATGACCTATATTCTGCAGCTGTTATGCATGAGCACGCTATCCTCAAGAATAGGGTTAGGGTTAGAGTAAATTATTCCTGAGAAATAGCTTATGCAAACATTGCAATCTCTAAATACTGTCTAATAAAAATGAAGCAAGCTTCTTTTTAAAAATCTAATTTCTAAGTAAATGGGTGTCTTGCCACTGAGCATAACCTCAAGAGAAGTAACCTTGCCATGTCTTGCCAACTGAATAGCATTATAGCTTATCAATATGGACAGCAAAGTTCTGCAGCAAGTTCCTCTTGCAAAAGGAAAACACTCTGGTTGACGAGGAGAATGAAGCATTGTGTGTGTTCTTATTAGGATAATGTCAATTGGGAACTTACACCTAACCTTAGGAGGTGAATGAGGACAATCAAGTATTCTAAAGATATCTATAAAGTTATCCCTCTAACTCTTCATGTGATGTGAAGAGAATGGATTCAACTGGACTTTAACCCATCCAAAAAAGTTACACTTTTTACTCATTGGGAGTTCTCCAAAAAGACATTAAGAACTAACATATCTGGGGTCATGCTAGGTACCAAGAACCAAAAGCAATGTAATATTATCTCCCACTTCCAGGTGTAAAAGTAAACCACAATCAATCAAATGAGAAGACAAGCCACAGACTGGGAGAAAATATTTGCAAAAGACACATTTGATAAAGGACTGTGTTACAAAATACACAAAGAGCACTTAAAACTCAACAATAAGAATACAAACAAGCAAATTAAAGATGGACCAAAGACCTTAACAGACACCTCACCAAAGAAAATATACAGATGGCAAATAAGCACATGAAAAGATGCTCCACATAACATGTCATCAGGGAAATGTGAATTAAAATAAAAATAAGATACTACTATATACATATTAAAATAGCCAAAGTCCTGAACACTGACAACATCGAATACAGGAAACTCATTCATTGCTGGTGGAAATGCAGAATGGTGCAGCCATATCAGAGGACAGTGTAGCAGCTTCTTAGAAAACAACATGTTTTAAAACACATGATCCAGGAAATGTGCTGCTTGGTATTTACACAAAGGAATTAAAAACTAATGAGGACACTAAAACCTGTCAGTGGATATTTATAGCCGATTTATTCATAATTATCAAAACTAGGAAGAAATCAAGATGTCCTTCAGTAGGTGAATGGATAAATAAACTGTGGTACATCCAGACAATGGAATATTATTCAACACTAAAAGGAAGCTATCAATCCATGAAAAGGCAAGAAGAAAGTTTAAATGCATATTACTAAGTGAAAGAAGCCACACAACTTATGATTCCAACCCTGACATTCTGGAAAAGGCAAAACTGTGGAGATAATAAAAAGATCAGTGGTTGCCAGAAGTTGGGTAATAAATACATGAAACATGGAGGACTTTTTAGGCAGTGGAAATACTCTGTATCATACCACAATGGTGGAGACATGTCATTACACATTTCTTCAACCCTGTAGAATGTACAACACCGAGAGTGAACTCCAATGTAAACTATGAGCATTGGGTGATTTTGAGTTGTCAGTGTAGGTTCATCAGTGGTAACAAATGTACCACTTTGATGGTGGATGCTGACAGGGGAGAAGGCCATGCAGGTGTGTGGGCAGGGGGTGTATGGAGAATCTTTCTACCTTCCTCTCAATTTTGCTGTGAGCCTAAATCTTCTCTTAAAAAAATCTTTAAAAAATTCAAGTACAACATATAAAGGAAGTATTTTGACAAGATGGAAAATATTATCAAGTATTGGTATGCTTGATATTGCAAATACGATTTCCTTTGGCTCTGCCTGGGGAGATGCCCTTTACTAGGATGATGACATAAGGGCAGAGGGTGGAATTTGGTGCAGAGGAAAGTCAGGATAGGGCAGGGAAGAGGAGACCATAGGAACTGACGGCATTGAGCCCTGAAACTGCAGGGTTACTTCACCTGTGGTCACATGCATTCACATGAGGCTGAGTGGGGGAGTGAAATAAACCTTCCCCAAAGAGGAGTGGTGGAGATTCTACAGTCTAGTCCTATTTTTACTACAAAGTGATTATTCTTTGTTTAAGAATATTTCATATTGGAAGATTGAATTATACAGAAAAGTAAAATGGGATATTATATAGAAAGTACTCGTTTAGGAGACAGATAAGAAGGCTAAAATATATATCTTCCCACACAAACACACACTACCCCACGGTCTAGAGGGTGACCCTTGGAGATGCTTTAATTTGCCTCTCTTTTCCATTTGACTTATCCATAGGTGGGCAATGCAAGCATTAGGAATAATTCTCATTGAGGCCTCAGTAAGGGAGCAGCTCCGTAAGTCCATGCCATACCAAGAGAGGACATGCACACATATATGCATCCTCTCAAAGTGAAAGCAGTTCTGTTCAAATATTGCAAGAGCAACTGAAGGACAATCAAACACAACTGTGAGGGTTCTGCTCTTGCACAGGATCCCAAAGATAATTCACTCTGGCTGAGCTGGGCTTGGTTTTCTTGGCTTAAATCTGCAAGGCTGTCTCCTGTTGGACAAGCAGGTTTCTGACAAGAGGCGATTGTTTTCAGCCACACTCTTAAAGACTTAGAGCTTCAAGCAAGAGAACATAACTGAATCAATATCTCTGAAATTGCTCTTGGACCAAAAATGATCCCTCATAAGCTTGACTGACATATATTGAGTTGCCACATTAGAATATAAGCCCCCTGAGAACAGGAGATGTGTTCACTTGAGCCATTGCTGTGAATTACAGATTGAACATAGAGTCAGCATATGGTAAGTATTCATTTCATACTTCTTAAATTAATGTCTTAAATATTTAGGGTATTTATTTAAAATAAATTAACGCATTAAATGTTCAGGATATTTATTTAAAATTCTCATCTTGGGGCATTGAATTTTAACTTAAATATAGATTTTTTCATAAGTAGCCAGGCTTCTCTCTCCCTCCACCTTCTGCACACACAAAAGAACACTACTGTAGATAAACACTTGCTGTAATCAAACCCTAGTGTCCTATAGAAATTAAAATGTCCTGAATATTTTTGCCTTCTGAGCTGTCTGTGAAAGTGGGTGTTGGTATTTTCAGAGGGACATAATTGTTAAACCACGGAATGGAACATCCCATGTTATTGTTATAGCAAACAATAACATCCCATAGTTATTGTTTACTCAGAGTGGAAAAACTTCTTTAGGATACATTTGCTATAAGAGATTTGTTAGTATTACAAACACTAATGAGTATTACAAAAATGTCTGGATCTCTCTCCATAATGTGATGGAAAGGCTCAAAGAACATTTTTAATAAACATACTCACTTCAAAGCCTGTAATCAATAGAAAGTCTATACTCAGTCACATATAACTTAAAACATTTTCAATATACTTAGATATATAGCTTTAGGTCTGCCTCTCTAACATTTAGAAATTATAATAAAATAAATTTTATAGATATTGATCAATTTAAAATATGGAAATTATCAAAGTTGAAGCTTCTATTTAGCCTAGCAAATAAAATTTGGCCTTCTGTTGTCACTAGGTTGGGAAATCACAAAAATGATTATTTCTCTTTTTTTACCTGAAGTATGTGTGATTGATTTGATATAAGTGCATTAACTATAAAGTGAATTAAATATTATTAGCAAATTTATCAAGTACCTATAAGAGACCAGGAGAAGAAATACAGTGTCAAATTAAACAATATAAATTGAAAATAAATCTATGGATATATTAATTAATTTAAGAATTTGAGAACTAACTATAAGCTAAGCATTATAGGTACTAAATAGCTAGTTATTACACATGAGGCAGATAGTCAAAGATACGTGGTTCCTGCCTTACGCATCTTACAATCCAGTGGTGGAGATAAAAGTCAATAAAATAATGACATAAATGTAAAATTTCAAAATGTGATAAGTACTCTGAAGGAAAAGCGTATGATGTACAGATGACATGTAACAGGTGTCCTGATCTGGGCTGGAGGGATGCAAGAGAGATGTTCCTGATACAATAATGCTGGAACTGAGATCTGATGGATGAGCAGGAAGGAAGTGGAGGTAATCAGGTGGGCAAGCTGGATAGAAGGGAGAACACAGCACAAGTAAATCCCCATGGCAGGAGAAAGCTTCTGCTTTCTGCAAAGATGTAAAATTGGCTAGTGCTGCAAGAGCAGAGAGGATGAGGCAGATGAGGTTTTTGGTGTGGCTAATAGACTGGGAGGTCACAGAGGGCCCTGAGGTCATGGTAGAGATTTGATCTTTTATTCTCAGAACAATGGGAAGACTTGGAATGTTTTTAAGCATAGGTGATTTGCATTGTGAGGACACTGCTGCTTACAATCTAGAGAGTAGACTGGAGCAGAGCAAAAAAAATAATTTGAAAAATAATTGAAGAGGGTTTTTCTTTTTTTTCTGAAGTCGAGACAAATTGTTGTAAGAGTTTGGACTGGAGTGGTGGCGGTGATTGCACAGAGAAAGAGAAGTACATGGATTGAGCAGCATTTAGTAAGTAAAAGATGTAGGGTTTAGTCATACACTGGATATGGGGAATAAAAGAAGAAGGAGCCAAAATATCTTCAGAATGTAAAAGGCTAAAGAACTCTGAGATGCTGACATGGGTTGAATTGTGTCCTTCCAAAAAAGATATATTGGAGTTCTAATGCCCAGTCCCTCAGAATATGACTTTATTTGAAGATAGGGTCTTTACAGAGGTGCTTATGTTAAAATAAGGCCATTATGGTGGGCCCGAATCCCTGATACCTGATTGGATTCAGTGGCAGGTAGGCATAGAGGCCAGACTATGGGAAGAGACACAGAAGCCAAGGAGAAGCCAAGGAGAAGCCAAGGAGAGAAGCCTAGAACAGGTTATTCCCTCACAGCTTTTAGAAGGAACCAAACGTACTGACACCTTGATGTCAGACTTCAAGCTTCCAAAACAGTCAGATAGATTTCTGCTGTTTAAGCCTCTCCATCTGTGCTATGTGATTATGGTAGGCCTAGCAAACAAATACAGGCACATGTAGCTAAGTTAGTTATTCTTTTCACAATAGACACATGCTTAAGAGGTCATAGAGAGTTGCTGCATACCCTTCATCCAGTTTCTCTTAATGTCATCATCTTACAAAACCAAGGAAAAACAGTCAAAACCTAAGAAATGAACATTGGTAAGTTACTATTGACTACAATGCTGTCTCTATTTCACTTTCACCAGTTTTTCTGCTAATGTCTTTTTCCTGTTCCATGATCTAATTCAGGATCCCACATTACATTTAGTTCTCATGTTACCTTAGTCTCTTCCTATTTGTGATAGTTTCTCAGTCTTTCCTTGTTTTTCATGATCTTGACAATTTTGAAGAGTGCTAGACAGGAATTTTGGTGAATATCCTCAAATTGGTTTGCCTGACATTTTTGTTTTCTTTGATTATACTAGCGTTATAGGTGTAGAGGAAGAATACTAGACAGGCAGCATGCCCTTCTCATCCCATCCCATTAGAGTTATATGATACCAACATGCCTGTTACTGGTGACATTAACCTTGATAACCTGGTCAACATAGTGTTTGCTAGATTTCTCCATTGTAAAGTTGCTAATAGTTTTTCCTCACCGTACAGTAATTCTTTGGAAGCAAGCTTCTATGTTCTGCACACATTCAATACAACAGGAAATTTAGATTATATTTTACAAGACGAAAAGAAAATAGACTTTGGTGCACCTCTAGTTTTTGAAATTATATTTATTTATTTTTACTACTGGCTTGACCCATCCATCAACAGTGCACTAAAATAGGAAACATTATAATCCAACCGTCCATCAGAGCAGAGCTTCTGAGTCCTAAGTATTGCTTTTAGATTGCAAGAAAATTACTAATGGCCGAAAGGCAATGTAGAAATTGCAAGGCAGAGAGGATCAACTGGGGGGCTCTGGAAAATTAACTGCACTGAAAATATTTACAAATATTGCCTATGACTCAGCAGATTAAGGTCAGCGTATGTTCTTAGATGACAGCGCCTTCAAAACCAGACCAAATTATTTGCTAATTCCTGACAGACTTGGCTAGGCACAGCATAATTATTAAGGGAATTCACGAAGTGGTGGTGAAAATAGGCATGAAATCCATGGATTTCGCTGGGTAAGGAGGTGTGCCTCACTGTTCACCTCTCACAAAGGTTGGAAAGCAGTTTGTATTCTGTCAAGAGTGATTTGCAACAGTCACCTTAACTGTTGAAACCACCTAGCAGTCCAGGACTAGATGGTGGAGCCTTAGACATCATCATTACAAGCATCTCCTGCTGTTTACAGGGAACCAAGGCCCAGAAAACTTCAGGGGCACTCTCAAGTTTACAGAAAAACGTATTGGTCCAGGAGGGACTAGTGTGAAGATTCCTAACTTTACTCAAGTGTTTTTCCAGCTGTCTCCTGTTCTCTCTTATTTTAGGCTTCCTCCTGAACTCAGCAACAAGATTCAGAGGGTTGTATAGCACCTGGTCCAGAAGAGCTATGCAAGCCAGGTGAATAGAGTCTTAAATGATGACTATAATACGCATATAAACTCCACTCTGCTTTCAGTTTAAATTAAATTCTTTGTATTCATACAGATTGCAGAAATCTGTTACAAGATGGCTCAAATTTACAGAATTTAGCTTTGTCTTAGGTCAAAAAGTGTTCCCAAAGACTTAACTCAAAAAATAAGAAGCACTAGAAGCTGGACAACATACAATCTATCCAGCATCCAGCAGATATTTTATTCTTATTTTTCAGTAACACAAGATAAATAAAAACTGTCCATATAAACACTTACATGTGATATCAATTATTCTTCCCTTTTATATTTTTACATTATTTTTCAACAGGGAATCACCAGTGAAAGTCCTTTTCATATGAGAACTCTTGAAATATCTACTTGAGCTTAGATAGTCATATTTACTTTTTAAAAATGAGAATAGGAACAAACAGAATAACTAGTTCATTTCAGATATCAAAAAATGATTGGATTATGTGTTAAATTATCAAACACGATGACACGAAGAAATCCTAGATAGTTCAGAGATTTGAGTGCATATTTTTAAAACCAAATCAACTCATATTGCATATCTTTTACCCTGGTAAGTAAGGCCATATTCTAAGCTCAAGACAATTCCTGAATGTCAGACATTTGCATGTGCTTGGGCATCTAAGAGTTCACTGAATGAATTAGAGTTCTATAATTCTAAGTTTGCATCTATCCATGTCCTTGAAGAAGGGAATTTAGACAAGTATGATGGTAAATAATTATCTTCTTTTTGCTGGTTAAATTAGCTGGGTGTGGAACTTACTTTCCTTCTTCCTACTCTCCTTCTCCCTCTCCTTCCCTCATCTCCTTCTCTGGCATCTTCCCCATCACCACCACCTGCACCATCACTTTCTTCAGCATCTTCCTCTATTTTCATGCCCTGCTATTATTCCTCCTCCTTCTCTTTCTTCTGATCCACCTACTGATTTAAAACCAATTGCAAGTAATCCAGTATTGGAGTGGGAGGAGAAATGGCATAATTCTTCTGTACCTGAATGGCCTAAGAAGACTCTGACATCTGGAGGACTCCACCAAAAGCTCGGAAGTTGTTTTTACAGTACACTGTAAACAGAAAATGCCAATCCTTCAGGTTCTCATTCAGTGTGCTTTGAGGTTACCTTTAGGTCTCATTTCTCTTTTTTTCTTAAAGTTTATTTACCTAGAAGCACACTTTTGAAGTAGAGTGTGATTATAATTCTGAAAATTCTTAAAATCATTTAATGTCTGTTGCCAAGGTAACAAGATATGGGGCAGATGAAAAGAACAGGGACCATTGATTATTTTGAAATTCTCAAGTCGTATGAATGGTGTGCAATAATACAGCACTAATTAAAGTATGTAAAGGCCTTGGCCCACATTTTAGGCTACTCAAATGTTTCCTCAGACGTGGTAATATTTAACAATCACTAGTACATCAGTTTTCAGTACCCTGGCTTAAATCAATTTTGCTTCTTCCACTTACCCATCTAAAACTTGTTATATGATCTCTACAAGCTTTACCTAAGACCTTGCCCACTTTTACTGTTTTTCTCTTTTAGCTACATTGTAATTGAGCCACTCAATCCTAAGTATATTAATCATAGACAATAACATAATACTCATATATATTGCAGAGCATACCAAAGGCTGGCATATGTATCCAGAAATCACAGGTTATAAAAACAAAGCAAGTAAACATAGATCTAACATTCATTTATCTCAGTATGAAGAACATATGTGAGAGTGTCAAAGTTGCAGCTTTTCTTCCACCGCAAAGTGTACACTATCACTGAAAACATTAAATGATATTATTATATTTTATTATATTCCAATAATTATACTATACAATTAATATGAACATATATACCTTAGATCCCAGCGTACTCCAGAAATAAGAATCAATGACATTTCCTAACACCATGAAATGTGATAGTTAGGGACATTTTGATTTTAATAGTAAATTGTACACTTGATCAACCAGGTTCCACCTGTTCTAATGAATGTATAGCAGATAAATAGGATTATAAAAGTATTATTATCATGATTCTCATCACTTTACTGAATACATCATTATGAAATAACTTAATGGTACACTCATGAATAATAAAAACTCATGCTTCTTCAATTTCAAAGCATACAAAATTATAGATTTGGAAATTTAAGACATTCATTAAATTTAAGAGAGTCATATTCAAACTAGTGTATAATGTTTGTGTATATTTGCCGCACATTTGTCCCAAATAACCAACAAAAGAAAATATATATGTCCATTTAAAAATATGATTCAAATTCAAATAAGTGACTAAAATACTGGAAAGCCATAAAGGAAGAATGGCAGTCACTTTATCTGATATAAAAACTATGACTTATAAATCTGTTTCCATGTTTATTAATTAAGATCAAGGGCTCAAGCATCTGTAGGTGGCATTGAAGGAGTGTTCAACAAGTGCATACTGACTCTCATGGGGTTCATTGGGTCAAGGATCCCTCTGACACAAGCAAGAAAGTGTTCCTTAAAACTCCCCTCAAGGAGAGAGCAGCCAGGGTTTCTTAGAGCAGACTCTATAACTTCAAGATTTGTTTCAAGGGGACATTATAGTGTGAGCATGGTGAAAATTTGTGTGGAGGACAGAGGTGGTGAAAGAATTGAATGAATAGTAGTAAAATCTGGATAGAAAGAAGTTTTCTCATCTTTGCTAGGTTCTCTACCTCAAGAGAAGAGATAAAATATTTCTGTTAAGAATTTAGAGCAAAAAAGCCTACAAAGAGCTCAGACTTCTAAAGGGAGTGGTAGAGTGAAAAAGAGCAATGTACTAGGAGTTATGAAGACTGTCGGGTTTTAGCCTTGATTTGGCAACTAACAAGTTTGCTAAAAAAAAAAAAAAAAAAAAAAAAAAAAAAAGAAATGTGCAAGTCACATCACCTTCTTATGCCTCAGTTGTCTCATCCGAAAAATGAAGAGGCTTGAGCTTTCTGCTATTGAATGTTGCCTTTGGTTCTACCATACTTTGATTCTAAAACAAAACTACCAGGAAGTCTTTGAGGGCTGCTATTATCTTTGTTCCTTTCATTTCCTTGCAGGGCCCACAGTTCCCTGCTCATTGAGAGCTGGCAAATGAATGAGCAAGACTCAAACCTCCTACAAAGCCACATCCCATGACATTTCTAAGTGTGGGGCTCCACCTTCTTCTTTTTTTTTTTTTTCTCTACCTAACTTTGAAGGCCATTTACCTCATTCTCTCATCTCCATTTGTTCCATATCCCTCATCTTCTCCTGTATAGAAACCTGAGTTTCTTAAATAGATTCCCTTTCCCATTATTAAAATAATGGGAATATTGCCTAAGTGCAATAGGATATGTTTCTTAGTTCTCTGTTTTTGTTTCAGATACCATCAAGGCTCCCCAGGTGGTCCTGAGACAACTTAACTCTATAAGCCAGAAGCTTGTGGCTTAGAAGGGCAGATTCCCAACACTTGACATAGCTTCGGTATAGAACAACAAAAATAACATGTCAGAGTTAATTGATTTCAGTAGTCTCTAGGAGCTTCTATCTATCCAGTTGTGCTAACAAAATTTTTCATCAGACAGATATGAGGCCTTTAAAAATATTTCATAATTTGGCTTTGATCAGGGAAGGCAAAAAACAAAAAGTTAAAATTGCTAATGTGTATGCATCTATGAATTAATCCTTAAAATATTCAGTGACTCATATAGGTTAGAAGTTTTCCCCTCTGAATGTGCCTCATTGGCTGGACTCAGAAGACACAGTTTATTGCAAAAAGGGCCCATTATAGTGTTTTCCTGAGTAGATCTCAGAGCTGATTCTCAGTGGTGTCTGACTCTGCCAATTATCCTCCTACTACCTTCTATCTAGGTAGCAGAGGAAAGAGCACAGGTGAGGAGTGGGTGTACATTCCGGTTATATCCTAGAACCAGTGGGACGTCATGAATTTGACATTTATTGAAGGCACAAAATCTCACTGAGTCTCCTATCCAAGCTACCCTGCCTCTGGAAGAAAAGGCACTTCAAGCTGTAATCATGGAGAAATACGAAGAACATTCAGAACCAGAAGTTGCTCTCCTTGTCTGTAATTTTCTACTTTTCTTTTTACTGCTAATGCTGGTAATTAATAAAAGTATTTGTATTTCAGTGAGATTTCTGTTTCTCCTTCTACATTGTTAACATTGGCTTTAAGATCTGACAGTCTGTCCTATTTGTGAGGGCAAGAATAACACTACAAGGTGCCATGGCTTAAAAGGAAAGGGGAAGAAAAATAAGGACGAGGAAAAAGGCAAAGCAAGAATAAAAATTCAAGCCTGAAGACTAAAAGAAGCCTGTTATAACTAAGGATTATTTAATCAATAATACTACTTTTCTTGACTTATCAGAATTTTTTATTTCAGCTCCAATAGATGTGTATAAATTACTTATCTCTGAAAACATATTTTATTTCCCCTAATTGCAGATTTCCCTCACTATATAAAAGCACATTCAAGGGCATGCCATGTGAGTTTTAAGAGAACACTTGTGAAAAAAGCTTATGATCAAATATGATTATTTATCCTAAATAAATTATTTTATTGCTGTTAACCTTTGTTGGGTGATCCTTATGCATTCTCTATAATGTAGTTTTATTTGATTTTTACAGCAACCCTATGATGGCATATTATTATTATTCCCACCATTTTCCGGGTGATGCCACTGAGAATCAAGGAGTTTACTGAGTCTTTGCAAAGCCACACAATGACTTGGAACTAACTATTCAGTCTGTATGATGCAGAAGCCAGTGGTCCCAATGACTACCTCACATTGTGAAAGACAGACCTGTGGGTTTTCTATGAAAGATAATTTGGGCAATATAAGGTCATGAGATGAAAACTGGTAAGAAGTCAGGAAATATTAATGTAAGACTAGGTTCCAGTGTGTGTTCATTATACACTGTTCACTAGATCTTCAGTTTCCCTCTCTGAAATGGGTATAATTATTTGGCCTACCCAACTCCTGAATTGTTGTGAAGGCCAAATAAGATACAGACATATTATCACTTAGGAAACTAAAAAGCTATATGAATATAAATATCATTGTTTCAATGTTACAAGGAGTTGTGTTAATATCCTAGTTTCTTAAATGATGGACAAAGATGCAAGTATGAGCAGAATTGTTTCACAGATTCAAAGAGAAGTAAAGGAGATAATGCAATGAGATAAACAAGAACCATTGGAGGGAAAAAAATAAGAGACAGTTTTGTGGGCTTCCCACAACAGATGGAGCTCAGGGAGACCAAACATAGACCAGAAGTGGAGTCTATCTCATAAATCTATGGGAGTCAGGCTTCCTTGGACAAGACAGAGAAGCAAGTTGATGGGGGCAGAAAATAATTTGAGACTCTCTGGACTCAGTCTATGTTTCCTAGGATACAGAAAAATATAAATCTGTCTGTCAAAACTCACATAATAATAAGCACAGTTTTATCTCAGTATCTGCAGGAGATTGGATCTGGGATGAATACCAACATCTGTGGATGCTCAAGTCCTTTATATAAAATGGCATAGTATTTGCATATAATCTATGCACATCCTCCAGTATACTTCTAAATCATCTCTAGATTACTTATAATACTTAATGCAATGTAAATACTATGTAAATAGTTGTTTTACTATATGTTGTAATTTGTGTTGTATAATTATTTTTATTGTTTTTATTTTTCCAAATACTTTCCAGCCATGGTTGGCTGAATCCATGAATACAGCAACCATGAAATCAGACGCCTAACAGTATTGTATGCAAATGAAAAAGTGAAATAAACATGGGATGGGGTTGGAAATAAGAGGCAGTCCAAGTCTCCTTCCTGAATAAGGTTTTATGTGCAACACCGTGAATGTAATTAATTTTCTGCTGTAGAACATTAGTTCATAATTGTCACTTTCATGTTTCCACTTACTTTCTCCTTAATCCTTTGAGATTCAGATTCTGTCCCCAGCAGAATGAAATCTTGCTTTTTCCCATTTCTTCAACTGTGACATCTCTGAAAACTACTTTCTTTCCCTCCCAACCTTTGAAGGAGGGTGTTACAAAGGCTTAATTGTGGTCCCCATGCTCTTTGTCCTGGACACACTTGACTTTCAACATGTGGTCTCCACTTCAATCTTGTTACCTTTTCTGAGCACCAGTTCTGCCTTTCCCAGAGCCTGGTATCAGTGTTCTGCTATTACCTAAAGCTTGTCTTACAAAATTTTCTCCCTTGTCCCATAAGATATCTCTGCTTTTTGGCTTTTCTTCATATTTTCAGTTATGCCACCATTTTCCCAATCAGCTAAGGTCAAACAATATGAGTTGATCATATCAAAAAAATTAGCCCCTATGACACAACTGAGAGAATTACATTGCAGTCAAATCAATCCCATACCTAACCTGTGCATCATAATTAACCCCTTATCCTTGGACCCACAAAGTGAATTTATTGCCATAGCTGCTCCATTATTTCTGTGCGGAATTTCTTCCATCCACCTGTCTATTCATCCTTACATTCTTTTCTCAGTGCCACCACTCTAATTTAGGTCCTATAACTTCTTATTTTTGAATAACTGACAAACTTTTCTAATTAAACTTGATGTCTCTGACCTCTATATTTCCAATGTATCATTTGCATGCTGCCAGATTAATATTTTTAAATGTTTTTCAAATCAAGTCACTCCTCTAACAAATAATACATTCATTGGCTTGTCAATCAAAGAAGATAGACCTCACTCAGATATTTTAATTCTGCATGTCATTTTTTACAACATTTTCTTTTATTATACCCCTACTCAAACCCTTAGGATCTCTCAAAAATTGTTTTTCACTGCCTTTCTACATGACTTGTGCTTTCCTGCTTTTGTGCCATCCATTTCATGGAGGGTCCCACCATTCATTTTTCTGTGTCTATAACCTTTTATTAACTTTAAGGCAATATGCCTCTTATAAACTTTAAGCCCTGTGTTCATTACCTTCTATTTGCTCATCTATAGCATCTATAGCTATAACCATTACGTATATACTATATGTGTCTAAATTAGTGTGTAATGTACAAAAATAAACGCATATTGTTAAACAAGAATAATTTGCCTCAATGAGTCCTATAATGATACAAATTTAGGTCCTTGAAGCCTCATCTTGTAGCTCACTCTCACCTTGAGAAAACACGCAGACATTTCATCGTGACCTGAAGGTCAACTACTCAGTTTCATGGACAATAGTCCTATGTAAACAATTTCAAATGTCTCATCTTATCTTCTTGCCCATCCATCAAGCTAAGAATCCCTAAGCTGCCACAGATGCTCCCTATAGCCACCTCCCATGTTTAGTGTTGGTAACCTTGCAGCATTAGTCTCACTTCCTTTCACCTGGTGAGAGAAATGCTGGTGCTAGATCATAACCTCGAGGCAGCAGGAAGAACATGCTGGACCTCAACCTGCCTCCTTTGAGAAGCAACTACAGAGCCGTTTGCCGAGCAAGGCACCTGCTGTTGGACGGGTGCCCAGTGCCAGGGAGTGTTTGTCAGCACATGAGACAGATCTCTGCCAGAAATCAGTGAGGCTCCATGTTTCCATCCATAAGTTAAGTTGCAAATATAGCAGAAACAGGAACAAATATAGGACTAACCCTGCATGTGGCTGGGGGTGGTTGTAGGATGAGAAGGAGAAAGACAAAAAAGGACATAGCAGACTATGAGGAGGATAGCCCTCCACATGACAGTGGGAATCAGAAAACATGGGTTTAAATGTGGGTTTTGCAATCATTTCACAATAAGTTCCATTTCTCAGGAATAAAGTTTTAATCTGTTAAAAAAAACAGGATTGCTTTAGATGATCTTCTGGGTTATTTTCAGTTCTTATATTTATATGGTTCTAGGAAGAAAAGTTTCAGAGAAAAGAGAGAAGGAGAGAGAGTGAGCTTTTGACTGGTACTGGATAGATTTACCCATCTATTCATTCTTGTATCTTCCTTTCAGTATATTAAGAAATTAGTCAAGAACAGTTGCACACTGGCTAACATGGTGGAACCCTGTCTCTACTAAAATGCAAAAATTAGCTGGGTGTGGTGGTGAGCACCTGTAATCCCAGCTACTCGGGAGGTTGAGGCAGGAGAATCGCTTTAACCCAGGAGGCAGAGGTTGCAGTGAGCCAGGATTGCACCACTGCACTCCATCCTGGGCGAGAGTGAGATTCCAAAAAAAAAGAAACAGCTGCATAAATTCCCACTCTTTTTCTTCTTTTTTTATCTTTGCCCTTTCCTTCCTTTTTTTTTTCTTTATTTCCTGTTACTTTGCAATACTAGCCTCAGCCACCATCAGAAGCTCACCAGGAGCTCAGCACAGCTCCTTTTCAAAGCAGAACAGATACGATATTTATGGGGTAGCCAGGAACGTGACACTGGCTAGAGTGAGGAGTAACAAGAAATGAAAACATTGAA
Source organism: Homo sapiens (assembly GCF_000001405.40). Lineage (NCBI taxonomy): Eukaryota > Metazoa > Chordata > Mammalia > Primates > Hominidae > Homo > Homo sapiens. The sequence continues at coordinate 117,666,477 of NC_000003.12, forward strand.
TCAGATCTCACTCCTTAACCTGAGCCCAGTTCTCCTCAGAATCCTCACTGTCCCATGTTATTATTCTGTCACCAAATGACCCTGAGTTCTGCCAGTGCAAAAGTGGCCATGATTCCTTCAGTTTATCAAGAAAACAATATAGCAGTCAGCCAAGCTGCACCACCTGTGTAGTGTCTCCTGATCTTCTCTCCTGCATTAGAAGTATTCGAGCTGAGATGGGTGACCTCACATAACCCCTGCATCTCAAAGATCCTCTGATCTCTTTTTCTAGATCAGAGGTGCTTAAGCCCTAAACATGACACTTGAAAGAAAAGGAAACCCTAATCTTAGCTCATTAGCAAAGCATTTACTTCTCTCCCCTTTTCTGTTTATGTTTTATCTGGGGTCTCTATCTACTTGTTTAAAGTACGTGCTCTGTGTACAGGACTTTCAGGATGCTACTAAGCTAAAGTAAAATTGATAGATTTATATTTTAAGTGGGTTTGTGAATGACGGTTGTGCATAACTGAGGGTTAGTGTTTAGGAAATGAGCATGATATCATCAGAGTTAACGATGGTTGCTAATCCTCATGACCTAGTGATTGCCCATGAATCCTCCCAACCCCTCCCTCCCTCAGCATGCAGTTTTTCTGCATTTCCAGAGGAGAGAAAGAGGGATACATATATATATATCCACACATATATATATATATCTCCATATATATATATACACACACACACACACACACACACATATATACTTCCACACACTCACCTTCAGTTAGAGACAGAAGACTGTGATCAATAGACTATAGAGGAGTTTGAATAGACTCTAAGAAAAGGCATTATGGGCAAACTTGCAAACAATTCAAGACATCTGGCCACTTTAGTCGAGGGGAGCCTAGCTCTTTTCCTACAGTATTCCTTCCTTCCGAATTTCCTTCCTTTACTTCAAACAAGGAGAAAAATCGTATAGATTAAAAGAAGTTCACTCATACATTAAATATTTGGTTTGGTGGCATTAGGCACCCATGAATGAATTATTTGGCTTGTTCATTTACCCTTTCTATAAGACCAAGATAAGGACACTTCAGGATGCCCGTAATCAGTAGCTGAAGAATGAGAAATGGAACCGTAAGCTTACAGTAGGAGATAATGAAGATAATAAAGATGATGATGATATAACCGATAATAAAATTTATCAAATACCATCTGTCAGGCATTGTTCTAAAAGCTCTGCACGTACAGATCTAAACAACCTTTTAACACAAGCATACACACAGAAAGAGGTGATATTCAAAACTATGCTTACTTGAATCCAGGGAACCCATTCTTTACATTTCATCTTGTTTCTGACATCACCAGTTTTCAATACAGAATAAGTGGCTGAGGTACAGTTCTAGACTTAGACAACCAAAGTTCACACTGTAGCTCTGGGGTTCACTGTTTAAACTTGGACAATTCTCCAACCTCTCTAGTACTCTATTTTCATCTTACAAAAGAAAACATTAATATTTATTTTGCAGGGTTTTATGAAATTTATATTTATCACCTAATAGATCTTGACACAAAATGTCAGGGTTGGGTGCTCAAATTTTTAATTTTCACCTAGTACCTACATCTTAATTTCTAACACTATTCTCCAATAACAGGAACTAGTGTTCCTTGAAGAAATGGTTCATTCTAGGACTCGGGCAGGAAATATTCCAGGTCAGCTTGGAACAACTTATAGTGTCGGAAAGAAAGAAACAACCAAACAAATCAAAATCCTACAATGATGGGAAAGAGAAACGGGATATAATTAAAGAGAAACAGGATACAATTAAAAGAGCTTCCAATAGCCAAAGCTGTACAATTTAAGCAGCAAAATAAAGTAGTATTGGATTATAACCCAAAACATAAAATAAGAATCTATGAGTCTATATTGCTATGAATAAATTTTAAATAAACAAATAAAGAGAACAGACACATTTCTTGCTTAGAAAAAATACAGAAAATTTATGTATATACCCCACTTTCAAGGAGGTACAGCATAACTTTCCATTCCTTAAGTGCGGGTTGCATATTGTGACTTCTTTTGAGTAAAGTATTGAAAGGGGGAAAAACAGTAACTTTACACTGGAGAAACCAGATAAACACTTTCCCAGCCAAGGGATCTGCTCAACATCAACAGTGATAAGTTATATTGATAATAGGTACCCTTGACATAATGTGATAAAATGGCACCTCACCTCTTTGGTTTTCTTCCCTCAAATCCATAATGCCAATCTATGAGAAAAATAACACGCACATTCCAATAGAGAAACATTCAACAAAATACCTGAGCATTATTCCTCAAAACTGTCAAGGTCATCAGAAACAAGGAAAGTCTGAGAAATTGTGACAGTCTAGAGGAACCTAAGGAGACATGATTATGTAATTTGGTATCCAGATGAGATCCCAGAACAGAAAAGTTATATTTTGTAAAAAGTAAGGAAACATGAATAAACTATGGACTTTAGTTAATAATAGTGTGTCAAAATTGGTTTATTAATTGTAACAAATATACCATACTAATGTAAGATGGTAATAGAGGAAAATGGGTAAGACATGAGGAATTCTCTGCACTAATTTTTGGCATTTATATAGATCTAAAATGATTCCAAAATAATCGTAAAGTTAATTTTTAAAAATGTTGAATGCCTTTCATTCTTTTATAACCATTGATGGATAATTCTGAATGCAAGGGAAGTGCAGCAGAGATTCTGAATTTAGGCAGCAATGGTTATTGAGTATTGAAAGTAGCCTTCACTATTGACTTACATTTCCTCTTCACTTCCTAGGATCTATAACAGGATTGTGTAAAGGAACCTCAGCCAAAACAATGATCTCTCTTTGACACTGAGCCGGGGAGTCCAACGGTGACGGGCTGGGGTTAAGAAAGGTTTCCAAGGAGCTGAAATTGAGGAAATGCGTTTTGCTAAGTACGCTGTGCTCTGGACACAGGTTGCTTAGTTGACTGCAGAGATGTTATTTTAATTTTCTCAAACAGGAATGATGGAGCCTCACCTCATACTCATTAAGGTTCTGGGCTACCCGTGGACAGCTTCTGTACAGAGGGATTGCCTGACAGAGTGGGCAAGGTTAAAAGAGAGACTGCAGGAGATCTGGAGGGGGAACAAGGGAAATGTGACAGCTGAGGAAGAGAAGGAGACTGATTCTCTATGTAAGCAACAACAACAAAAATCTCAGTTCAGGGACAGCTCTGAGCTGGGGTCCTGGTAACAGCCTTGTGCATTTTCAATTCCCTCATTTCTAGGTCCCTGTATCAGCAATAGATAGAATATGGTCTGTGACCGCCAGGCAATCAGAAAACTGCCAAGTCAAGAAAACCCGGTGGAGTGAAATGATGTGGTAATTCCAGTTAGCTGAAGGAAGAGACTTGCTCACAGAGTCGGGGAGGAGTGAGCTAGACACATGATAGCTCTTTTCAACTGAAAGGTGTATTTACAAGCCTGAAATGAGCACCTTTCAACCCTGGGCCTCCTCCCACTCCCACTTTTGGAGCTATGAGTAGGGGAAACCCATATATTATATCTCAGGCATGTGAGCTGACTGTGAAAAGGGCAGGGCTGATTTACTTCCATTGTGTGGAACACAAGCTCTGCTGGCATCTGTCGTTCATTGCAAAAGCTGAGCTTTCAGATGTTAAGGCTGCACCTCACAGAAGTTATGCTAACTGCTTAGAGATGATTGTTTCCTTCAAAGATAGACTAGATTGTACGCTCTATCTCTCATACCCACTCCATCAGCTCAGCTATGAGAACAGTCTCCTATGACTCTGCTTGTACCCAGTACGGCCCATTTGCTCAGAAAGCTACAGCTTTCCTCTGACATTAAATTTCTTCCACTTCCTCAACTGACTCTGTAGCTCCTTGATCCGCCGTCAGGCCCTCCATTGTCATCTCTCCAATCAATTCACTGTTTCTAAAACATACCGAACTCATTCTCACCTCAGTGTTCTGGTATTCCTGCAACTTGGAACATAATTCACTTCTCCCTCCCTGCACACTTCTTCAGGCTCAGCTCAATTTCAGCCTTCATGGATTCTTAGCCTGATTCTCATTTTGATTTCTATCAAGCATCATTTGGTCACAATCTTATTATTTTTAATTATTTTGCAAGGGATTTTAATTATTTATATCTCATCTCATTATAAAAAATTGTGGTAGTTTCATGTTTTCATTTTCTTTCTCAGTTAAATGTTAAGTTTCTTGAGGGACACAAACTATGTCTGTGTTTCATTACTACCTTCAAAAACTGACTAGTCGACAGCACAAGGTATGATACCACTTGTGGAAACGTGAGAAGGTTCTGGAGTCAACCTACACAGGTTCTAAAACTGATTTAGACCTTTCTAAGGACCTACCTCATCATGTTGCTGGGAGGAATACATGAAATGTCACATCAGGCACTTACAACAGTGCCAGGCACAAAGCAAGAATTCATTAAGTGGCAGCTGTTGTGGTTTGTGTTGTGTTTTTATTGTTATTGCCTTATCATTCTCATGTCCAATAACAGATCTGGTCAAGAATGCATTCCAGATCTTTCTTCTCTCTTAGGTCCTTTCTAATCCTTTCATGGATCATGGCTTCCCATGGCTATTTTGTCGGAGAAACATTTCATCGTAGTCATCAGACCATTCTACCTTTTCTCACTCTCCTGTTTTGGAAAATAATTTCTTCTAGCAACTTTGTTGGGGTTTTCCATCATTTTCCAAGGCAAAGAAACATTGGCACCAGAAAGGTGCTCTCTGCAATGGGGTGGAGCAATTCATCCAGGCTTTCCCAGGGCCTGGCTAGGTGAAGATTCTTCAACCCATCCAGCTGCTGACTGGGCTTTACAAGCCACCTGATGTTTGGAAAGAGGTAGACTCATGCAACTGGATGGTGGGAAAGACTGTTGACACTGCCAATGAACATCCTGACATTCTGAGTTGCAAAAAAATGCCAGAAGCAATCTCATACTGCCTGTAGTTATCTCAAACACACCTATTAGGCCACCCAGCCCTCCTCTGGATATACAAATTGCAGTTATTGCTCAGAAACCTTTGGAGCGTCCATTGCAAACCCAAGTCTTAGGTGCCTTCCTGCCAGCTATCCTTTTAGTATCTGTCATCTGGCAAGGTAGTGTTTATCTGGTTACTGTGTTACTAAAGTGGACACTAGCTATTTCTCCCTAGCTGAGCAAGACTAAGCTCTAAAATGTTAAATACCAGTCATTCAGTGTCTGACACAGTCAAGTATGGGGCCTTATATTATCATCAACACTCTATTGCTCAAATCTTTGGTCATTCCCCAGTTTTTCTTCTTTTCCTTTTCATTCCAGCTTTCATTCCCCTGTCAGACAGGTCTGAAAACATCCAGACCCGAGACTAGCCCTCCAGGAATACATGAGCAGCAAGGCCATCTGGAAAGGCTAGCTCACTCCTTTCTCATTCGCTCTCACTCACCCCTCCCTCGGCCCATGCTTTACCCCCAGTGGATTGTGTGGGAATCCTGGCAAGGTCACACTGCTTGGTTCTGCTGTCAGTTTAAATTATGTCTCAGCTTTTATATCTAAATCAAAATACAAGAGAATAAGAAATGAGAGAGAGAGAGAGGAAGAGGCAGCAAAAAGACATGGCAACAACCTACAGCGAGTGGAGAAATGACATTTCAATTGGCTAATTGATCTGTTCCCTTGACAGCTGCCCCTCCTCACTCACCCCAAGTCATTATTTAACAAACTTTGAGCCCACTCCAAGTCATATGTGGATGGAATGTACACCTCCTTCAGGAAGGTAGGGGAATAAAATATTTTCTGCAATGACAAAAAAAGAACACTAATTTAAGATGATTTTATTTGCTTGATTATTTATGTTAAAATTAAGCCCCTTATTCTCAGAACTTATGAATGTAGTGAATATCATTTTCCTATGTTCTCATAGAATATAGTGTACACTATAGCGTGCCTATATTTGTTTTCAGTTTAGCAATTACCAAGACAAGATTTAAAACTATATTTCACTACTGACTGTGTCTAAATAACATTTTCGTGAAGCCAAGGATAAAAAATGCCGATTTAGTGCCTATGATATTTCTCCTTTGGTGCTAACATTTTATATACACCTATCCAACAAAAGAATGATTATTTTTGTATTACAGCGAGTTGATTTGGAGCCTTTAACTGAAAATCAACTATCAAGGGTTCTCCAAGACATCTGTCTTTTAAACTTTTATAACTTCAAAATATGATTATGAGAAGAGTGGACAAAATTGGGGGTAAAAACTGTAAAGTACTATGCAATGATGAGATAGCACTGCATTTAAACATGGCCTGAACCTGTATTTCATTGATGATATCACCATGTTATTTAAAGTGTTATAGCTTTTCTTATTAATTCTGACATTGCCCTCCACCAATAGAATAGTCTACTAGGTTTGTATACTTTCTTCGGTTTATTTTAGATTGAAAACATTTTTTAGTATTTATTAGTGGGCTACATTTTTTATTGTTTATCCTGGATTTGTGTTTGGTTTATTCTGATCCAGTCATGACACATACCAGCATTTTTAAAAAAGAATTTACTTTGAGATCAGTAAACAAACATTAAATGACACTGACTGGCTTAAAATAGTTTATCATTAAAATTTTTTTAGTCAGAAGTACCAATTCCATTACCATTCCACTACTATGTGATCATTAATTGACCAGTTTGTAAATTTCTCTCAGCCTGTTGTTGTAGACTTTTTTATTCATATGCAAAATGAAGTTAATACTTGACTCAGATATTTCTCAAAGTTTTAATGAAGGCTCAAAGTGCACTAATGTGGCATTTCTTTTTAATTGTAAAGCATTATATGATTGTAACGTAAGACTCTAATGATGAATTTGATTTTATTAGCACCATGCACTGACCATCTATACTAATAGGCACCTTTGGTCTCAAATTCCACAAAGACAACTCCCTTCATTAAGTAGAGAAAAATAACTGAATACTTCAACTGATTCAATAAATTCTTGAATTATGTTCAATCAAACGGTCAGTGGTTAGAAACAGCCTTGTGGTACTGTAGAAATGGAACAGTTTGGTTTTACGTTGAAAATCCTCTTTGGGGTAATAGGTTACAAGTGGTTGGTTATGACAATTCCCCACTAGAGCAGTAACAATAGAAGAATGCTATTAATCTTGCTTCCCCATGTGCCAACAGCAGGAGAAATGCTGACTTCACATCCACACATCTACTACCCCCATTATGGGCTGTAACAATGAAATAGTCACTTGCCAGATTGTGTACCAAAACCTCTCAGGAGCACTATAGTTTAGCCCTCTTTGTCTCACTGAGACTGAACTATATTTACTATTTATAATGATTAGGTGGCAAAATACAGATCTCTTTGTCTATGTTGAGTACCAGAATACTACTATTTATTCATTCAAACGTAATGTTACATTTTTCTTTGGTTTATTGCAATCAGTCTTTATATTTTGCTGATTTCAAATGGTTTAGAGTAAAAGGCTGTATCATAAGTTGCTTATGTTGTCTAACTCATTGCCTAGTTAGGAGAAAAGAGGAAAGACACTCCAAGAATTGAAAATATTTTACATAGAAACTTAGTTGGTGATGTACTTATTTATGTAATACAACTACTTTTTTGGCCACATAAAAAAGCAGGTCTTTTATGCAATTCAGCATTCAAGGGTTGGTTAAAGTGGAGAAAAATAAAGTTACGAGCCTTGATTTCTTCCTCTATGTCCTGGGCCAGCAGCTGTCAAAGCCAAGACAGGGCTTGGGGCAGGGGACATGGTCACTGCATAGAAGCCACTGGTTTTTTGGTTTTGTTTCTGTTTTTGCTTTGTTTCGTTTGTGAACCTTCATTAATATTTTTATCCACTGTGACCTTCAATCAGAGAGCACTACTAGAGAGGTACAGTTTTGTGGTTGGCCTTTGGGATTGGTGTAAACCTTTACCAGTGACAGATCCTCTCCAATGCATTGCTTGGGAGTAGAGATAAGTCTCTGATGAGTCACTGTATGGACAATGTCCAGCTTATTTGTGGATATATGCTCAATCTGATTTCGCCCAGACACAGAGAAAACTACCGCATTTTCTTTGACCACGCCAATGAGGCCATTAGCTGTGGCATCACTCTGCAAAGCCACTTGAGCACTGTGGCTCTTGTCTCTGACCAGGAGGTTCCTTTGCAGTCTCAGCATCCAGCCTCTTCTAAAGGTCAGCAGCTGTGAGACCAATGGTTTTCTCAAGGCTTTTTAAAGCCTGTGTGGTGGTTCTGCTATTCAAACAGATGCCAGCAACTCCCAGCTCATTTTCAGCAATATTTTGTGGTTCTAAGAGTTTTCGTTCATTCAGAATAATGAGGATGAAGTTTCAGATTAGGGGTCCAATTTTCCCATTGTTGGTATCCTCCATAATACTTAGGAGAACCAGATGCTGGAATTAGTGCCTTTGTTTCTGCTGATGCTGACATGGCAGTCATATTGGTGAACTCATAAGGTGTCTCCTCCAGGTATAACCCAGCCAAGTTTCTGAGATCCACTGACTTACCCACAGATGGAAAAGCCACGGACCCAATATAAGCATCACCAGTCCTGTCAAATGAAAGCCTCTTGGCCTACCAACAGCACTGCATATTGAGGTGATAAGACTCATGGAGGGTTAACAAGATGAGTGTAAGCTCTAAAGAACTGTGGCCTCTTTCTATTGTGGTGAAGTCATCTTAACTCAGATCTAGGCAATCCCAGCTAAGTAGCTGCCCATTGTGATGAGCTCCCAGTTGCCTCCATGGGGGAGGTCTTCCCACACACACATGCACGAGACAGATCCTGCTCTGGTCGGGCCTAGAGCTTGTACGGTTTCTTGTATAATTTTAGGAGCCCTATTTAAGAAATGAATACAAATAGATATAAGAAAACACAGAAGTCTTAACCAACTATAGCTTAATTATTATGCTTTTGTAAATTTTGCAAAATTATGTAATGATGAAAACCTATGCTAGGCCCTTCTCAGGGCATTGGCAGGGGCACCATGCAGAAGAGGGTATGTGAAGCCTAAGCTTCATTAGCCTTAACGCAAACTAGCTTCTAAGTGCATTTTTTGAACTTAAATACTTTTGAAAAAAAAAGACTTATCCAAACATGAAAATATATCAGATAAAGAACCAAGTGACTATATAAATCATGTATTGAACTACGATTTTCAGTATTTGATTAAACAGTTCAATTTTTATTGTGTACCTGTAATATATGCTGGCTGGGCTCTGCTTTGAGGAAAGTTCATAGATGTATAAGGATTACCCTTTGCCCATGAAGAGTTCAAAGTCTCAGGGTGGATTCAAGCATAATTCTAAATCACAGGATGATCAAGTATAAAGTTCTGTTAAATCTATTCCTTTGACATAGGTTATCTATGAAGATTTCTCTTAAGGGGTAGACTCTGAAGTGGACTTTCAATGGCAAACAGTTCTTGCAAGCACATGTGGGAAGAACAGCTTTTAGGCAAGGTCCTGAAAATCCAAAGCTTTGAAGCCAGAGATGTGGGGCATGTTTGGGAAATTAGCTGGTATGGGCAGAGCTTAAGATCCAAGGATGCAAAGCAAAGAGAGACGAAGAGAAATGTTTGCAATGGAGAATAAGAAAGGAAAGATTAATTAGCTCTGAACTTTGGAGAACTTGGATATGCAAACATAGGAATGTATTATCGTTCTTTTTTCTTTCCTGTGTGCCATAGGAAATCTGCAGAGTTTGCTTGAACAAGGAGTAGGCATGAACGCATGTACAAATCGGGCAGCATTTCTGCATGAGGGTAGTAGTGATAAGGAAGTTGAAGTTGTTGCGGTGGTTCCGGTGATAGGTGTGAGGGCGTCTCCAAGGATATGACTGTGGGAATGGAAAGAAAAGGACATATGTGAGTTGCAGAGAACGGAGCTAAAGGTAGAGGCTTAGCTAGATGAGGGGATATAGGCAGAGAAGAGAGGAAAATGTAAAATAAAACTAAAGTTTAAAACTGAAGAATATAGTCATGTTCTTAACTGAGATGAAGATTACTAAGGAAGGAACACAGTTAGGAAGTGAAGGAGAAGGAAAATAGGTGGGACTTATATTAGGCACTCATAAGACATACATGTGTGACATCCATCCCAGCAGACATTTGAAGAAACCATTAACTCTACACTCAGTTGCAAAAAACACAGCCATTCTCTTCAAACTGAACTAGTTTGGTTCCTCTCTTGGACTCTTAGGTCCTTCTCCTACCATGGTTTCTAACATTCTCCAACTAATGAGATGGCTTCCTCACCCCTTGGAATAATCCTGCTCAGTCAACATCTTCCTCGTGGATTATCCCCGAAGTATTCCAATCGCAAATTTGCATTATATTACAATGCTTTGATGTTCATGTCCACTTGTTACTGCTCTCACGTCTTTGCAGATTACTCTAAAACTCTTATTAGAATAAGATATAAGCTTTTTTTTCAGAGCAGGGAGCCAGATTCAATATTATAGTATCCCTCTACAGTAATCAATTTAGAGTTCTTGGCAAAGAGTAGACGCTTAATCACAATAATCATTAGCATAAAAGGTAATCTTTATTGGGCACCTAGTTTCTGCCAAGTACTGTAACATATACTATATCTTATCTAACGAAAAACCTACAAAAGAAGTAGGCTTTTATTTTTATTTGGATGAGACAAGTAAAGATAAAAGAGATTAGAAACTTCCCCAAACCACTCTAGTAGTGTTAGGTTCCAACCCAAATTCATTCTGCTCCAAAGCTCACCAATCTTTTCACAAAGACAAGAATATTATACATGTAATGTTTTCCACTTAATCCTATACTGAACACAATTTAATTTTTCCTAATAGGAGGATAAAGATCTTATATATACAATCATTATTTTGTTCCTTGGCTGTACTGAAATATTTATTTTTGACATTGATTTAGGCATTAAACTCTGTTTAACAATATATTTTCATATATATATATATATGTGTATATATATATATTTTTTTCTGAGATGGAGTCTCACTCTTTCGCCTAGGCTGGAGTGCAGTGGCATGAGCTCAGCTCACTGCAGCCTCCACCTCCCTGGTTCAAGCTATTCTCCTCCTGAGTAACTCGGACTACCAGCCTGTGCTACCACACCCAGCTAATATATATTTTTTTTTTTTTGAGATGGAGTCTCTTTCTGTCACCAGGCTAGAGTACAGTGGCACGATCTCTGCTCACTGCAAGTTCTGCCTCCTGGGTTCAAGCGACCCTCCTGCCTCAGCCTCCCAGGTAGCTGGGACTACAGGCACTTGCCCCCACACAATTTTTGTATTTTTAATAGAAATAGGGTTTCACCATGTTTGCCAGGGTGGTCTAGAACTTCTGACCACAGATGACCCACCTGTCTTGGCCTCCCAAAGTGTTGGGATTATAGGCACGAGCCAACACACCCAGCCAACAATATATTTCTATACCAGTTTTGAAATGAATGAACATTATAGAAGGGTTATACCTAAATCATAAGTGAGCATTTTTCCACTTACATTATGTTGCAAAATTCAGTTTGTAAATCAGGTTTCCAAAACTTGTATATTTTCCCATTAAAATTATGCTATAAATAACTAATGTCTTCTCTTGCTATATTGCTTTATTTTCACCTATGATTTATCACATAACATTTATGCCCTGTATTCTAGTTATAATATATGTTCTCCTTCTTTCACTCCTGGCTCAAGGTAGACTGTATGCTTCTTGAAAGCAGATGATGTGTCTTACATTTATCATTTTAATATACAACTAGTCCAGTCCCTTAATCATAGTAAACACTCACTCCTTTATTCATCCTTTCATTCATTCTGGAATTTGTAGCATGGGCACTATGTGCTAGGGACTGGGACAGAGGTTGAGGGTACAAGGCAAGTAAACGAGACATGAACTATGCCTTGAGGAGCTTACGATCCAATGAAGAAGACAACAAATATTTACGAAACCATGTAATATAAAACTGCTGTATGTGCTCTAAAAAATTATGAGGAATATTAAAAGCATAAATAAAGGAGACTTACCCAAGTCTGAAGAGTTAGGGTATAGTTAAAATAACAATACTTCAATATACGAGAGAAGATAAATTTCATCCATAGACGTGCCTATTACAAATGACTTTTAAAACTACAATTGGCTGAAATGAGATTTTAAACAACCTATAAATCTAATTGTTTATAACAGTATTTTAATGGGAAAACATATCCTGAGACTTTTCTTCAAAGCCTCAAAATATATAATGGGCCCATTCCAATCCTCCATCCTTGGCAGCAAAAACAGGCATCTGCCTATTCCTGCTGAGACTTCTGTACAAACAAGGTCGATTTTCTCCTGTCACTGAAGATTATACTGCAGTTGTGGGGCCAATGGAGGGGAATGACAGCTTCCAAGGCAAAGTGTGAGATCTGATAGTACTCTAGAACTTTTCTGGGACATCTTTAAGATCTTTGGAACCTGGCAAGAGAAAGGGAGTCATATCACCATAACATTGTGAAAATGGGCGATTGCTTTCTTAGTCACTTTCTATCCATCTCAGTGTTATGATAACTACTTCCATGGTTTTCACACAGGACTGCCCAAAGGAAATTGCTAAGTCTCTCTATTGTGACTATTGTCGCTTTATGAGTCTGCGTGAGATGGATCTAAGGCCCCATGTTAGTGCCTTTACCCATACACAACCATGTGATTAGATGATTCTTGTACATTCAGGCATATTAAATGTTTGATAGTCACTGATTTAGATATACTCTAAATAGCACAGTAGACATGCCCAGTGGAATAATTAGCTTTGATCTCTGACTTTTGTGTCAAGTGAACAAGACTATACTTAATTAGTAAATAAAAATCAAAATTGATAAAAACTGAATAAACCCTAGATGTTTCTAATTTGAATAAGTCAAAATTAAAACTATTATTCATCTGTAATCTTCATCCAGTGTTGCTGATTTTATTCAAAATGCATTTTTTCTCGTATAAAATAGCTGATTACATGTTTTCTTCTGTTGCTTGCATGTTCCTTTATCTCCTCTTTCCATTCTATTTTTCGGTCTTTTGAGAAATGACTGCAATTTTGATATTGATTTTGAAATCAGGCATGCCGAAACTTTTCTTATCCAAGCAGCCCTGTATCTAAAATCTTTGTTCTTCTTAATAGAGCATGTCCACCTAACACACACACACACACACACACACACACACACACACACACAGACTTCCAACATGAGTGCCAATAAATGGCAATGTCTAGCATAATTCTCTATTCAATGGATCCTTGAATAAATGAAATCATAGAGGTGAACTAAACTGTAAATACGGTACAGTCTACATCTGAAAGAATTTGGAAACCAGGGCCTTTGGGGAGTGAAGATGGATCATGCCTAGTGGCCCCTCAGTGCTTTGCACATAATTTTGTACTCGCTTTAAGGTGACGTTATTTTTGGTTTACTTGTCTGCTTTTCTCTTCACTGACCTATGAGCTCTCTGAGGACAATAAAGGTTTCCAGTCTTTTTCTATCTTCTGAGGTGGATTCATAATAGGTGCTTAATACATATTTGTGAAGAAAAGAAGAAAAAGATAGGAAAGGAAAAGAGGGGAGAAGACAGAAGAGGAAAGGGAGGGAATAAAGGAAGAGAAAGAGAAGGAAGCAACCTGAATAGTAAGCAAGGGTTACGGGACCTGAGTTAATAATTAGGCAACTTGGGCAATATTAGGGTATCCTAGATGTCTGGATTTATCTTGAAATTCCTTCTAGCACTGTATTCTATGTCTGTGAGTGACAGAATACGTATATGTAATTTGCATGGTATGTATGAATAGTATTGTTATATAAGTAAAAAGCAATAAATCCACAAAAATAGTTGGCTACTTTAACAAAAAGTTTCTGATATCATCTTTGCAATTAATCAACATTTCAGATTTTTCCTTTGAAAGCTTGTAAGTATATAAATCCTAAAGACATTTACTTGTCAGAATTAAGATAATTTAAAATGGAACTGTTACAGTTCCAAGCAAAAGGACGAAAAGGGAAAGAAACAGATGTGTATTGTAGAATTTTACTATAAAAGGCACTGAGCAAAGTACCTTACCTAAGTTATCTAATTTAATACTCCTGACAACCTTTTTAAGTTATTATCACTTTTTTTCTAAATGAAGAAACTGAGGCTCTGCAAAATGAAGCAAATTGCCCAGTCTATAAATCTAGTAGGTGACAGACCCATTAGTCTGATCTCCTTCTGTCTGACACTAAAGAAAATGCTTTTTTACGATGCCAAACTACATCTCATAATAAGAGAGAAGCTTCAAATTTTATTTATATTGCAAACTATGTCAATACATCTTTTATATACTGACATCCACTGCTACTCAGAGTTTTCCTTCTAAGTATCCTAGAGGCAAAAGAGAGAAAACTCACCTCTGGAGCTGGCTGTAGTCACCTGAAGCATCTGCTGTAGGGATAGTAATCTATTAATATTCATGTGTTTCTTCACCATTAATAGGTGATTCTTCTTTTCTTACCTAAGATATTTACGTTTACATATTTGTTTTAATATAGAAATAGCAATTCCTCTCCTTAAAATCAGTAAGTAAAACTGACACCTCAGGGACATGAAGTGTGTTTTTCAATGGCTCGGAGGAGGCCCTTCACACCCTTGCACATCATTGCAAATATTCATGTCCCTAGTGAACAGCAACAACCCAGATCTTTCTTGAGACATAGGGAATTACTGTATTTTCTCACAGTCAAGCTAAGGAATGCTGCAGGTAGGGTTCTACTTTGTTACCAGAAATTGTTTTATTCAAGTGCACAAAAACAGTGTCAACTGGTTTCTTGAGCCTTAATATATAAGGACACTTAAACTTTTCCTTCCTTTTCCTGTCTTTACCTTTCTCTCTAGGGAGATTTTTTTTTTTTAAAGAAAAAGCTAAAACATATAATGAAAGATGGAACTTAACATTGTGGAAGTCCTAATAATTTTTTTGAAATATTAGAAATTAGGTTATCCCTCTTGTTCCTAGTCATCTAAAAATAAGTCTTAGAAAATGATACCATTGTCTTTTCACCATGTACATAATAGGTTCTTTCTTTCTTTCATTAAGAACTCTATGAGGATCATAGAGTCTTGGAGCTCAAGGAAATCTTATAGATCATTTACTTCAAACTGTCTTTCCACATATGTGGGAGTTGAGACTCAGTAAATGAAAAGTGTTAACCCAGTACCGCAGAACGAATTGGGAGTGGATCCAGCCTTAGAATTCAAACCTCAGGCTTCCCAGCCCAGTCATGTTTCCATAGAAGATACTTCCAGCATTAATCATAACTTGGCTTTGAAGAGAATATCTGGCCCTGCATTTGAATTACACTCAGGCAGACAAAAATTCTGAATTATAACCAAGACTTTAGATTGCCAGCTGGGTAAGATTCAGCAAGACACCCAATTGCCATTTAGATGGTAAGAGATGTAAAAGAGGCCAAGAAGGCTCAAAAATGCTTACTTTCGTCATTATCAATGGGTTGGCATAGCTCACAAGTGGCCAATTCTATTCTCTAGCAGAATTAAACTTTGCAGGTTCACTGGGTAATACAATTGTTTTCCAATTTGGTTTGATAAACAAAATACAAAGTAAATGATATAAAACTATTTTAAAAGAGTATCCCATGAAATTCAATGTAGCTAATCTAATCCAAGCTGCTGTCTGCCCTCAGTGAGCAGTTTGTAGTTTTCATGATTGGATGAAAACACACTAGGAGTAGAGGAGAGTGGGCTCTGCAGTCCTAGTCTTCATTCTGCCTATTACTCGCTATTTAACCTTGGTCAGGCTACTTAATATGTTTTTGCCTCATCATTGTAAAGACGAAAGGAGTTAGTACATGGAAGCTTTGAAGCAATTCCTGGCACATATTAAGATCCCAGTAACTGTAAAGGACACATTTTAGAGTGAAGTGTTAGAGTGAGGGAAGGAAAGAATGGTAGCGCTTATAACTAGGCTGCAGACAAAGCAGAACTGTTTGAAGGGGCCTGGGGATTTCTTGCTCTTTGTCTATGATTCCTCCTAAGCTTAGCTCAGTTCCTCAAGCTCCAGAAAGAACTACATTTACATAAAACACCCAAATGGCCAAAAGGCTTCTTCCAAGACGCCAGGAATTCATAGACCTTTCCTACCTGAACTGCAGTTCTGCTCATTTAGCAAAGTATAATTGCAGAAGATTATCAGAGACTCCTCGACCTACAATACCCACTTCAGCAAAACCCTGAGGTTATACAGTAGTTTTTAAGTAAAGAGTTCAGAATCTCTCCTAAGATGATTTTTGCTAGTCTCCTTTTAATTGAATTAGTGAGTTAATAGAACCAAATCAGCATTTTCCACAATGATTGCAATGCCAGGAATTTATAATGATTTGTTCTTTATTCTGGACCTTTTGGGTTAGCAAATCAAAACTGATAACATCAAACCAAATTTCCTTTCTTCTCTTCTGCAAATGAAAGGAGAAGGAAAACACATAACCATTGACGTTTCACACCAACATTTAGATATATATTCACATACATTAATGGAAAATTTTGAGGGTATTAATTTATCATCATCATCTTTCTCGGTTTCCCACGGCCTTCATGAGATTATCTGAGAAGTACATCCTTGCTAAGTTAGGGCAGTTATTAGGCAGATATATATAAGTTAGGGCTAGTTATTAGGCAGATATATTAAGAATGGTTTCATAGTTTCACTTATTTAAATAAGGAGCTCTAATGAAGAATAAATTTCTCTAATAATTACTTAATTTTTGTTTCTATTTTCACTGCATATTTTAAACATTAAGTTTAATGTTATAAAGGTAATACATGCACATTGTTGAAAATCAAAGAGCACAGAAAAGTGGATGTTACATTCAATGAATTTTAAAAAATTAAACTGGTTTCTAATTATGCTTATATTGCCCACAGTATACAATATACCGTTTTCAGCTGAAGCCAAGGTCAGGTTCAAAAATAATATTGCATATAGCATTGCTTCCCCTTTACCTGAGATCTATAAATTTTTATTTTATCTATCTATCTATCTATCTATCTATCTATCTATCTATCTATCTATCTATCTATCTATCTTGGAATTCTTGAACATAAGTATTTCTGTACTCACTACATTCCACTAACTTATAACATTCTGTCTCCTGTCTCTTTATAGCAAAAGCTTATTAGCTATTGTGAGCAGCTACAGGGGTAAATGATGTTCCTACATTTTTGAGGGGCCATGTTAGTGTTTAGATAATGATTTAACTGAATCCCAAGATGAGTCAGGGCAAGAGTCTAGTTAAGGATGGGGGTTCTTGATGGATACTAAAGGAGCAGGCTGAAAATGTAGCAAGGTCACCTGCAAGCAGAGAGAATGACCAGGGCAGCCTATGCTAAGGATGCAAAACTCTCAAGGAGCTCTCTCTCTCTGTCTCTCTAGCAGGTCTTGGCATGGGATGGGGGGTGGTGGGAGTGGACTATATAGTTTATTTATTGAGTTATCTTAGTGGTGGATAGGCAGATTTTGAAAATTACAATTTTCGAATGTAAGGAGAAGTAAGTGCATATTATGAATCCAAGTAGTCAAGTAGATTGCATGTTGAAGAAAGTCAACAGAAGTCCAAACAGGTAACAAGTAGTTTAATATGAAAGGAAGAGAACATGATTCTAACCTCAGACCTAGGGAAGGACCCACATTGTATGAATGTTAGGCTTCCTTCTATGTATGAGTGTGTATTGGCAGAGGTAATAAAGCTGAAGGAGAACAGTGTAGTGAAGAGGAAGGGAGGTAAATTTGCACTATGTGTTTTCAGATTAGAAGCAATGGAGCCTTGGGTTTGCTAGAAGACATTGTGGTCATACCTCAGGCAGAGGCTAAGCCTTTTAGAATAGGCGTATTATAGAAAGTGCTAGAAAGGAAATTGGTATCATCTGTTTGCAAGAAGCCACTTGCTTTTTAAGAAGAAAGTTAAAATCACAGTCCTACTGATGATGAGGTACTGGGTGATATGTTCAACTGGGGACAATATTGAACCATAAATCAAAAGAGAATGAATATCTCTTGATCTGCCAATGACTTTTCACAAAGTACTATTTTTGGGAAAATAATTATATAGAAAACATGCACCTCCTTTCTAGTTTACAAGAATATTATGAATATATGCTTGTTAAAACAGTGCTTTGAACTCCTGGTAAATAGATACTCTATTAATACAATATGTAATTATTTATTTCCATGGGCCAGTACATCAGCCAATGACTTTTAGATGCATTTCAAGCTGAATTTAATTATATTTTCTGAAACTTGGAAATAGTCTGTTTCTATTTGGCTAGATGCCAGGGCAGCATATCTAGCTGATACACACTGATTTATTCCAATCGGTTCTCCCAGGTTAGTATCAGTTGGTTTATAAATACCAGCTAATAGGCTTTTGCAGGTTTCTCAGAAATTAATTACAGTAGATTTAAATTAATTGCTAAGTCGATAAAAGAATTCCCAAGGAATCCTCAAGTTTTGAAATTTACAGTGTTGCTGCTGGTAAACATCGGATAGCTCTGGTTCTAGAATGGTCCTCTGTTGTGGCTGTTATCCTGACTACTTAAACTATAACTGAGAAGAACATTCCTACACTTTCAGGCTATCTTTATCAAATTTCATAAGTAAAAC
Source organism: Homo sapiens (assembly GCF_000001405.40). Classification (NCBI taxonomy): domain Eukaryota; kingdom Metazoa; phylum Chordata; class Mammalia; order Primates; family Hominidae; genus Homo; species Homo sapiens. Next base: position 117,685,204 of record NC_000003.12, read on the forward strand.
ACATCTATTTGATCAACACCTATTTAGAGAGTATCTATAATGTTAGAGGCACTGTGCTAAATACTGTAGATAGAAACACAATAGAAATGTTTTCTGTGTAACTTAGTTTATTCAAGTATCGTACAATCACGTCCACTTAGCTTATCTTCTAACAAAATCATAGCTCTTGAAAATTTATAAAAAGGGGCAGGTGGTGGAAAGTTTAGGCTATTATCTAAGATGACAGACATATATCCCTCTGATTGATAATTCCTCAGCACGTTTCTTATGTGGGTGGGCTTGTTATAGCAAGCAGTGTATATAAAGAATATAATATCAGCCAAGTCATAGTCAATCAAAAGTACTGAAAGAATAAACAGACCATTTGCTCTGCTTACAACAGCTTATGCAAGTTTTTAGAAAAATGACAATTATGACAACAATAAATATTTTTAAAAAAGAACCAGTACAGGGTTTTCTATTATCAATTTAGGAAAGTAGGACAGGTGGATTATATAGATTATAAAACCTATAGATTGTGTAAGTGTTAGTCCAATTTGGTTTGGTTCTTCCATCACAAGCCAAGTAAGAAATGGGATGGAGATGATACTTTAGATGACACCACCTTCAGACAGTCAAATAAGATACAAATTACAGTAAATTAAACAATGCAAGAAGGATGGGATGATTTTCCTAGTACACATAGCTGAGGGTAGACTACTATTTAATAACTTGAAACAACTGAGGACTTAAAGGTCGAATATATAGAGAGGTTAGTGTATGTAGACCGGAAAATACTGAAAATGCTTAAAGACTAAACATATCAAATGAGAAGAAGCATGTAAAAATCAGAATTTTTGTAAAACCCCGTTATTCGGGGATGCCTCCAAAATAGTCTAAATTAGTAAAAGTTCTAAAATATATAATATCTTTAAAGACATGTTGTTTTAAGGTTTTCAAATAAATGAAGTGACTAACTGCTGACGAAGTTTATCCATGCTTGTTGGACTAGTTTTAAGGAATAGATGAGACTGATTGTAATTAGCAGCACTCATCTGTATAAAATGAGTATCTGATAATTTATTTAAATTGGTTACCCTCCTCTTTAAAACGGTCTGTAGAAGTGCTTTCCTTTAGAGTGAATTAAACTTAATTTTGTTTAGAGCCTTTATGTGGATATTGAGATGTGTTCAAAATGAAATGGAGGCATTTTGAGCTGTTGTAAAGAAGAGGTTGCAAATCATTTATTTTTAACCCTATTTATTGACCTACAAAAATCAAGATTTTACAATAATGAAAGTAATTATAAACTAGACCATCAAATCTTATGAGATATGCTGAGTATATTTGAATTATAGATTAAATAAAATGCCAAATATACCAAGAATGAACAATCAGTAAATACAGAAAGATAAGGGTATGGAGCTTTCCCTTCAGGCTACATAATTCCAGATAAAATGTTGCTAGAATAAAAATGCATAGACATTCATCTCATTTTACTCAAGGTAAAAAGTACAATGATTAAAAATATTTAAAAGAAGCAAATAAAAATTAAAATTAGCAAAATGCTTTTTATCTTTTGAAAACAACTTTTATTCATTTTGTAACAATGGTATACTCTAATAGAAAAAGTCACATAATACCAAAAATGTACCAGTGTAAAACGATGTATTACCTCAAATGCTACCACCTAGAAATAGTCACTATTGATGTTGTTTGGTAACAATCCTTTTAGGTGTTTTATTAATATAAATACATAAGGATATATAACTAGAAAAATACCTTATATTCTGTTCTGCAACTTCATTTTTTTCCACTCAACAATATGTTCTGGGCATGTTTTCAAATAAATTAATTCTACATCATTATTTGAGTGGAACTATAAAATCCAATTATAATAAGAACCATTATTCAATTAAATAATATCTTGATGAATATTTAAGTTGTTTTCTTTATTATAATTTCTACTATAAAGCATTCTGCTGTGAATATTTTTATAGCTATAATATTAGCTAGAGTAACTTTCCAGAACTGAGACTGCTGGGTCAAATCTATGCACAATTAACATTAAAATATATTGTATATTAGTTCACAAGAGTGGTCCATTCTCCAAATCTTTTTCCAATTTGTTAAGTGAATAATGGTATAATTTTTTTTTCTTTTCTTGTCCCCTTCCCTTTTGATTTTCCTCCCTTCTTCCCTTGTCTTCCCTCTTTTTCCCTTTCATTCCCTCCCCTACCCCACGCATCCACATGCTACCTAATTACTTATTCATCCATTTATCTATCATCTATGTTTACCAGCCACTTACGTTTCCTCTTTTGTCTATTGCCTATTTCAAATCCCTTGCCTTTTTTTATTATGATCACCAATTTTTTAATCCTTACTGATTTTGAAGAGCTTTTATATATTAAAATATGAATGCTTTAACAATGACACTATTAAAAGTAATTCTATTAATTTTCATTTTCTTTCAAATTTACCATAGGCTGCTTTTTGTCTTTAAAAAGTTCTATGAGTTTATGTAATTATATTGATAAATCTTTTCCTGAGCTGTTTCCAATTTTATGGCGTTATTGAAATGAGCTTTGTTACTCAAGTTTTTTAAATATTTACTTATGCTTTCTTCTCAATTTTATTGTGATTATATTTAATTTGTATATTTTAGTCTTTCACCTATCTTTACTTTAGCCTAATATAAGGTACTTAGTTTAATAAAAATGAGGTAGGGATCTAGGTTTTCTCTTTTCCTAACAGTTATCCAACTGACTCACAGAATTTATAGAATAATTCACTTTTTCCACTAATTTGAAATGTCCTTTTTATCTACATGACATTCTCATACTCTTGAGTCTTAGGTTTGATATCTCTTCTACTGATTCATTATATCAATTAAACCATATTATTTTAACTATTGAAGTTTTATAATAAGTTTAATAATTGATAGGAAACATGTTTCAAAACTTTCATTTTTGAAATCTTCCTTAGGGTATATACGTATTTAATGTAAGCATAAGATAAATAATACATGCAACATTGTTAGATTATCTGTGAAGCATATATATTTCAGTTAAAAACTTTCAGTTATGAAGTTGACTCAATGATTTAATATTCTATTTTTTCTCATCTGTGATGTCTTGACATAAACAGGTTATCTTACTTACTTTTCTTCTTGACCAGAACAGAACATTGGCTGTATAAACACACGGGCAGTCAAAATTTGGTATATGTGCATTTTCTTGCTATTCTTTTCTTTAATCCATCCATTAGAGGACTCATATCTTTTTAAAATCACTACAATTAAGTCATTCTAATTTACTGTACCATTCTCAAGTTTGAAAACACTGTGACACGAGTTGTCTCACTTCAGACCCTGGCCCTTTCAATGATCTGTGCTTTGCATTTGATTCTTTTTGTCTTCCTCTCCCGAGCTCCCTGAATGAAATAGCAAGAGGGATCTTCTGTAGAAGCATCATTCTCTGAAGTGACAAGGAAGCGGCATCTTTCACAGCTGGCAGTGCATGCCTGCATAATACCTGGATGCCAGAAGTGCTCTTGAAGAACAAACAGGCAACCTGTTTCCTCCTCAAGCAGCAGCAAAAGCTGTCAAAACCACAGGTGCACCAGGATCCTCCCCTCCATCAAGCTGTTTACATTCTTTTTTCAGTCTAGCATTTGGCAGCTGAGGTTGATTCTGGCGTTGGCAGCTGAGGTTGATTCTGGCATTGGCAGCAGAAACAATATATCTCTTAGGATTTAGGTCATACAGATGGTGTTAGAATTTAGCAGTTTAGTGCCTGCTTCCCACTATGCTATGGAATCAAAGACCCTGGACCAGGTAGTAGAGCATTTTTATTTAGAAAAGGGATGGATAAGGACATACAAGTGAATTATGCAATTTTCACTCCTGTTAGAGGTCTTTGAAATATTGCTTTGAACTATACAGTCTTCCTATAACTAATGCTTGGTGGCTATGGCGTTTAAAAACTAAAATGAGATGCACTTACTCTCTCAAATATTTAGAATTATTAAGCTTACATATTATCTTCACAGATGACTTGCAGAAACACTGTATAAAACTCAGCCTGGCCAGGCACGGTGGCTCACACCTGCAATCCCAGCACTTTGGGAGGCCGAGGTGGGCAGATCACGAGGTCAAGAGATGAAGACCAACCTGGCCAACATGGTGAAACCCCGTTTCTACTAAAAATACAAAAAAGTAGCCAAGTGTGCTTGTGGGTGCCTGTAGTCCCAGCTACTCAGGAGGCTGAGGCAGGAGAATCACTTGAACCTAGGAAGTGGAAGTTGCAGTGAGCTGAGATTGTGCCAGTGCACTCCAGCCTGGCAACAGAGCAAGATTCCGTCTTCAAAAACAAAAACAAAACAAAACAAAAAAACCTCAGCCTTTTTTCATTTATACTTGCACAAATTCCTGACCTCAATTTTCCAGTGAATGGCAAATGGCCCCACAAAACGATTAAGTTATCTACTTGGAATAAAGAATGTATTTTTTCACAGATGTAATATTATCTATATATTCCAAATGTTGTGCCACAACTTACAATGTAAGAGATTATTTAATTTAAAAAATTGAAAATGATTTTGATTCAAGGTGTCAGTATGAAACACAAATCTATAAAAGTTAAAGCTCCATGTCTCAGGACTCTATCAAATTTCATTGAAATTAATCAACTTTTATAAAATTTGTCATGAGACAGAAGATAATGTATACATGCAATATTAAAAAAAACATTATGACATTAATAACTTACATGGGCCAGGCGCGGTGGCTCACTGGGATTACAGAATCCCAGCACTTTGGGAGGCCAAGGCAGGTGGATCACGAGGTCAGGAGATCGAGACCATCCTGGCTAACACGGAGTAACCCCGTCTCTGCTAAAAATACAAAACATTAGCCGGGCGTGGTGGCAGGCACCTGTAGTCCCAGCTACTAGAGAGGCTGAGGCAGGAGAATGGTGTGAATCTGGGAAGCGGAGCTTGCAGTGAGCGGAGATCGCGCCACTGCACTCTAGCCTGCGCAACAGAGTGAGACTCCATCTCAAAAAAAAAAAAAAATTCGTTAATAATAATAATAACTTAGATGGAAGCCAAGAAAATGAATAAATTGCTTTTTCAAGTAATTTTTTCCTTATGAAAATTAAGATAAAACTTTATAATAGAGTAAGAATGATAGATTCTAGTTATTTTGGTTAATCAAAATGTAAACTTAATTATTTAAGTGATATCCCAACTTAAATTTGGCCTAGTTATTTTTCTAAATTTTTTTTTAAATGAGAGTTTCATTATAAAATACTCAAAAAGGAAATCTTATTTTCATTAACATTAATGAAAATTACTTTTGAAGGCCCTGTTAGGGTATTTGAGTGTGTTTTCTATGCAAATCAATTTTAAAAAGACAATACTTCCATTTCTATATCATTTGAACCAACATAAAATACTTCTTCATCATACTTTTTCAATGTACAGTTTCTTAAACTACTTTTTGAAGCAGTGGAATTCCTTTATTATTTATCTCTATTCTGAGCCTGCTACGTTCAACTACAAGATACTGTGCCTACTGAAGGTTCAGGCCTTTATGCAATCCATAATCCAAATATAGCATTTGATATTGAATTCATAAAATACAATGTATGGCATTAGGGGTTTAGAAATCCACCAACAATCTTTCTGTCAAGCACATATCTTACGTTATAAGGTTTTCTGCCATCAGGAGACCTTGCATCTGTGTGTTGTGTTCTGCCTGTGAAGCTGTGTTCTCAATTTGAGTGCACTAGCCAAAACCCAATAGAAAGATGATGCCATAGTAAGAAGGCAAATATTATAACTTTAGAGGCGGAGCCCCAGCCCAGCCTTCTATTGAATCACAATACATAGACAGCTGTCCATTGCCCGCTTGGCTCATAAATTTTCTCTACTTAGCCAAAATAAGGCAAACTTTTGTTGAAGATTCCAAGACACTAAAGAGAATAGAATGCTATACTTATTGCCTCTGGTTTGCTCTCTTCCCTTTTCCAGCAATGTATATTATCTTGGAACTAAAATATTTATTAAATGCTCCTTTGAGGCTGCTTGACCTTTCTGGGACCTGGCCACTCAGAGGGCTATGGGAAGGCTAATCATAGGGCAATTTTAATTGAGTTGATAAGTTCTCTTGGTCTCACATCAAAATTATAAATTTGTTTTGAGATTCCCAAGTCACCTCAGGGGACTCTTTTATTCCTTTCTAGCAAATGGTTACTTGGGCCAATTCTTGGATTCCTAGGGCAGCTGCCAATAAAAGACCAAGGTGGCCTTAATCATAAAGATTTGAATCAATTTTAAAGCAAATTGTTTAAAAAACAAAAGTTATCAGAAAGGAAGTGGGAGGTTGTAATGCCAAGATGAGATTACTCTGTGAGCCCTCAACAGTGAGAGCTATCAATAGATGTACATAGAACAACTAACTAATGCACAAGTCCTCATTCCTGATAATTGGCTGAGATACAAGACAGAGGAAAAGGGATCCTACTCAAACATAGGCCTGCCTCAGTAGGTCTCCCCAGTCCACTTGAGTGCTAGCCAGAATGTGGATGATTACTGAAGACATCAGCTATTTTACAGACTTTCACATTTCCTGCAGAGTTGAAGGGAACAACAAATTCAGCTGCTACATTACTAGTACATAGCAATTAGTGCTATGATAAGATCGTTAAGTAGGCCTGGAATGCAGTATCTTTAAAAAAAACTTCTCCTTGTTTTGAAGAAAGGATTGCTGAGGGGAAGAAATGTATATATACAATTTTTAAAGGTCTGAATCAAAGAGCAAGTACTTGTTTAGAACTTGGCTGCTGATGATATCTTCATCCTCAAGTTAATTAGGCAAGTGAAATCTAATCCCCTCTGGAGTGGCAATGTCCAAACTTTCCCTAGGATTTCAGTGGAATTTACTGCTTAAGTATTTTCTTGAACTGAATTCACTACTCTAATGTTAACTGAATTCTGTCTATTCAACCTAGAGATTAAATGGTATTCCTGCATCTTTGAGAAGCCTGCCTTTGAAACAAGTATTCAGAGAAAGGCTGCTTGGACAGGTCTGGATGAGGGGCTGTTAAGGTAACTAACATGTATGAGGGGCAGTTCTTGCATTAACTGTAGGGTTAGTTAGTCACACACACTCAGGAAGTCCTGAGACCATTCTGGCTATAATAAGTCAATGTCGCTTTCTACAGCTGTGAAGGTTAACTTTGTGTCGACCTGACTGGGCAAAGAGATGCCCAGGTAGCTGGTAAAGGATTATTTCTGGGTATGTCTTTGAGGGTATTTCCAGAAGAGATTAGCATTTGAATCAGCAGGCTGAATAAGAAAGACCTGCCCTCAGATGGGTAAGCATCATTCAGATCCAGTCCCTTGAGGGGCTCAGACAGAACAAAAAGGCTGAGGAAGGGAAACTTTGCTCTCTCTGCTGGAGCTGGGACTACTTTCTCCTTCCCTAAGACATCAGAATGCTGAGTTATCAGTCCTCTGAACTCTGAGACTTACACTAGCTGCCCTCCTGGCTCTCAGGCCTTCGGCCTCAGACTGAAAACTACACCACAGGCTCCTCTGGTTCTCAGGCCTTCCTACTCAGACTGAATCACATCCTGGCTTTCCTGGTTCTCCAACTTGCAGACGGCATATCGTGGGATTTCTCAGCCTCCAGAATTGTGTGAGCCAATTCCCATAACACATCCCTTCTTATAGACCTATATATTTCCTTTGGTTCTGTTCCTCCCGTGAATCCTGACTAATACATCAGCTTTCCTCAGGAATGTCAAAACTAGCTTTACTTTGATGGTGTACATTTGCAACTAAAATTTCTACATTAAGACATAGACATTCCTGCCATCAACAATTTTTATTTTTACTTAAGGCAGAAATAGAGAAAATTCCTACTCCAATTAGCTTAAAACTCAATAGCAATAAAACATTGGCCTCTCTGCCAAAAAAAAGATTATTTCCCTGAAGATTGAAGGAATGGTCTCCATTTTACCTCCCTTCTGCTTTAGATCCTCCTGCTAAGTCACTCTCATCTTTTTCTCTCGCTTTTCCCCTTCTAAACAAATATTTACGTATTTTTATTTGTATAGTGTATTCCATTTTAAAATAAAGCACTAAAGTTTGTTTAATTTTACTAGTAATGATATTTTTTAAGGTTGGAGTTAGGGGAAGGTGCCTCTGTGTGTCTGAGGCTATGGCCGCTGAAGTGGGCAGGGACAATCCTGCTATGTTGATTGTTGGCAGTGATATAGCCCATTGATCTCCCTGGCTGAATTAAGAACACTAGGTCTGACAAAATGTTGAGCATTTAAGACTCTAGGCAAAATCAAAGAATAGGAAAGATATGCATGAGGCTCAAGTCTCCTCTTTTTCTATTTTTCTTCCCTGTTACCCCTTTCTCTGTAGGGACCTATGGTCTTCCTGGTCTTTTCCTAGATCAAAAGCTCTTTTGAAGAACAAAAACAGTACATTTCCTTTCCATCTCTAGATTCCTCTTTAATCTACAATAATCTACCTCTCTTTACTGAAAAATGAAAAATAAAAACCCATTTTCTTTTCAGATTTAATTAATATCCTCCCTGAGAATGTTAAATGTAACCCTTGGTTTCCTAAGGAATCCTTATTTATTTATTTATTTATTTATTTATTTATTTATTTATTTATTTTTATTTTATTTTTTTGAGATGGAGTCTCTCTCTGTCACCCAGGCTGGAGTGCAGTTCTGGAAGGCGGAATCTCCTCCTTCCGGGTTCAAGTGATTCTCTTGCCTCAGCCTCCTGAGTCGCTGGGATTACAGGCACACGCCACCACACCCAGCTAATTTTTTTTTTTTTTTTTGTATTTTTAGTAGAGACGGGGTTTCGCCATGTTAGCCAGGATGGTCTCGATCTCCTGACCTCGTGATCCACCCACCTTGGCCTCCCAAAGTGCTGGGATTACAGGCGTGAGCCACTGCGCCTGGCCTCCTAAGGAATCTTGATCCATCAAAGCTTCTCTCTCTCTCCATCTCTCCCCTGCCCCAATTTCAGAACAGATAAAACAAGCAACCAAACAATACACAGACACACACACACAGACACAGACACACACACACACACACACACACACACACACAGAGCTCCCATTGGCTCAATCTCATAAAATTACTCCTTTCTCCATTCCCTTATCTAAGGGCTCTTAAATCCATATTCTACAAACACTTCCTCAACTTTCTTCCCTTGTTCATTCCTCATCACTTACATGACTGAATTCTCTACTTGTTCTAAAGCTGCTGACTTGAAAGTCTCCAAAAAGCCCCTTAAAATCTAGTCCCGTTACTTGTCTGGGGAGGGTTCCCATTCTTTCTCTCTTTAGTATGTGTTACTTGCTTTACCTTTGAAGTGACTTTTTTCTCTTGATAATCTCCTTCCCTATGATTGTTTCACCAATGCCTTATGTTTCTTTACTTCCCAAATATATGTGCCCCTTAATGTATGTCATATACCCCTGGTTTTCACTGTATGTAGTCTTTTCCTTAGGGATTTCATCAATTCTCCTATTTGAATATTATATCTTTGAATATAGGCATGAAGTCTTTATCTCCATACCAACTCTAGACCACCTCCATCCATGATTCTGAATGCCTTTTGTAAAATTTACGTGGGTGCAACATTCATTCCTCAAATACCTCAAGCTATTTACTCCTTCCTCTCCACATGTTCTTCTCTGAATGTCTCTTGCTGTTCAAGGATTTGCCCTCGTTATTTCAGTCCTCAATTCTAAACTGTACAGCTCCTGTTCTTCTTGGATGCTTTCCTTTCCCTATATTGTCACATTCGGTGTGACAGGACAGCCTGTAGAACTGATTTGTAAAACAGAATTCTTTCCACACTAGTATCACTATAATTGAGACACATGTTGCCCCGTACCTGAAATACATGGTCTTCTTACACACTGCTGACAGATTAATCTTTTTAGAATACAGCTATCATCTTATTATTCTATGCTTAAAAACCATCATTAGCCACTCACTACTTTCAATTACATCCTAATTACTTTACCTGACACTTAAGACCCTACATGACATAGCATTGAAAGCAGCATGATCAAAATTCCAGCTAAATAAAACTAGAGACTCCTTTCAGAAAATGACCCAGAATTTTCTTAATCTAGATGGCTTTTCTAGACCTATAAAACACAGCTTCCAAGTCCACCAGAGGAACTGATTTTCATCATCCGTTTACTCTTTCTTAAAGGTGGGCCAAGCTTGACTGCCAACTTCTTCCTAACAGTCTCTATGCTTCCACACTGGATGGGATTGCTGCCTCTGAGTCACTGAAGTATTTGTGTGGCCCTTAGCACAGTTATCTTGAAACAATGCAACTGAAAGTGTTTCATAAACCATAATCATGCCAAACTAAGAAATTACCATAGTTTTGTTTTTGTAGAAAAAAGTCCTAGCTTACCTAAAATGTTACCCTAGTATATTTGGTAGCATATCACACAGATCCAGGTACAAAATAAGTTCCTAATAAAACATAGTAGACACTCAATACAAACTTATTGAATATTATTTACTTACCCAGGAAACAAATTTGAATGATTGGATTGAATTAACGTATCTTTAAGTCATATTAATATTAAAATTTTTTTATTGTGTAAAGTACTAATAGTATATTTTTGATTAAATAAATGAGTTTTATTTGGTGGGTTGTGTGCTTATTCTTTGTTACTGCCTTGTTCTTCATGTCCAAAGGTGCTGTCAGTGCTGCTGACATTGCTCAAACTTTTTTGTTCTGGGCTTAAAGCAAGCCCTGTTTCATAAGTGTAAAGTTGTTTAACAGTCTTTGGTAAATGCCTTTCCAAAGATGCACATCTTGAACATGTCCAGCTTGCAGCAGCTATCACAAGTGTGTCACATGTGATACCAGCAGGATGCCAATAGGTAGATTGTAACCTGTCGGTTCTGAATGAAATATTTGACTGACTCAAGCTGAGCACAAATACGTTGTCAATAAGTCAGCAGTTAATGCTAGGAAAAATGAATAGAGATGAGGGGATCGGCTTCCTTCTATTTTATGTAATCCACTTCTAGTCCACTTTGTATAAAGTTGAGTGTGTGTGTGCCTGTGTGTGTGTGTGAGTGTGTGTGTGTGTGTGTGTACGCTGAAAACAGGTTGGCAGGGTGATAGTTGAAATGGGATTAGAAAGTACTGCAATTATTTTGCTCATGTAGAAATATGCAAAGAACCTTTGACCCCTTGTAAACAATGCAGTATGAGGGACTAAACAGAGGGCTCAGTTCTTCTTCCCTCATTAGCACCTCATTAAGCTATCCCAATACTAAAACTCTTGTTAATGCAGAGGCTGCTTAAGAAATCAACAAAGAAATGCCTCTATTAATAGTATTTTCAGAATACTTGCCTCTGAATATACTCTCCTTCCTTCAATCTTAGTTTCAAAACACAGCCAGAACCACGGGGCATACTTTTCTTTCCATCTTGCCCTGTGCAAAGGTATTGCATATTTAAATCTGAAATGTACCCAAGTATATGTATCAGACACTGCAGGCTGATTTAACGCAGAAAAAAAGAAGAGTCACAATTCCAAATCTAAGTTTCCGTCTATATGCTAAGAGCATGAGAAGCAGAGAATGAGAAATGGAAAATCCTCTATGGGAAGATAAGCTCCTGCACCTTTAGTTCAAGCAATGGGCAAAGCTGCTCTCTCAGGATTCGGTTCTGCATTCATGTGTGAGAAAAGCAGGGGGGGTCAGGCTAAGCCACACTTCATTGCAATAGACTAAAATCAGCAACTGCCATTGTCTGTGGAAAGCTAGAGATAAACAGAGCAGATGACTTTATTTTTATTTTTTTAAGCAAATGGGCTGTGACATTTTGTACCAACTCAGGACAGGTCTCTTGATTAAATGTTTTCCATTCATCCGACTAAAAGCTCCCTGACAGAGATGAAGTGACCGCACTTCGGGAAAAGAGAGTGCATGGGGGTTGGGGGTGGGAGCTAAACAGTGAAACAAAGGGTGAAGACAAGAAAAGGCAGGATGGCACAGAGCTCTTGAGTGGAGCTGGGTATTTAGGGTGATTGGTGAGGGACCTGATAAAAAGGCATCTAACGCCTCATTAGCATCTTCTGTTGATTACATGGTGGAGAGTGGTAACTGTGTGAGCTAAAGGAACTTGAAGAGAGATTGGGAGAAAAACATCAACTGATCCCAGTATGGAATACTCATGTTTCCTAGCTAATGTAAAGTGTTGGTTTGGCAGAAGGGAGGGGACGGGGGAAAGTTATCATTTATTGGGTATCTATTATACTTTGTGAGATAACGTGTTCTTGTGGCAAACATTGTATTTACCATTATGCATTCATTGTATTTAATTTTCACCATTTTAAAAGGTCATCAATAAAGGAAGAAGCTAAGATGCCCAATCCTAAGCAATCATGTGGTTATGGAATCCAGGAGGAGGAGCTGAGCTACCCGCTATGCCTGTCAATGGGGGGCATATGCGTGGGCATGCCCGTGTTCAGGGGATCCTGCTTCCAGGAGGTCAGAACCAGAAAGCTCCTTGTGCTTTCCTGTTCCCCAAGGTTGGAAGAGACAAGCATCATAATAAATTGTTTAAAATTATGATAAACAATTATAATAAACAAGAGCTGAAGAAACAAGCATCATAATACATTATTTAAAATTATAATAAAAGTTGAAAGTGCCAGGGTAAGATCTTTTCTCCTTTGTAGAATATAAATCAGAGTAGTATGCTATTCAGGCCTTTTTTATATATATGTGAGGCCCAGGGCAACATTACAAGGGGAACCTTACGTACCACTTAATATCATTCCATCCTCCTAGAAGACTGAGTATCAATTTAGAATCTTCAACTCCTTGAAATTCTGTGTGTGAGGACGGTAGAAATGAAAGAGTTGCCTCTGACCGCTGGTCCACGCCCACAGATTTCTCTCCTCAATCTGTCCCAGCCTCAGTTCTATACTGCAAACTTTTGTGAGGCCCCTTGCTCTCATGTGCGGAGTCTGGGACAGCCCATGCAAGCCTTCCTTGGTCAGTCTTTGTGCCAATGCAGACCTAGGAAAAATGGGTCTGGGACTTTCTAGGGCAGGGAATTCTGGGATGCACAGGTGATAGTCTAGAAGAAGGATGGTAGGTGCCAGGTGGGAGCCCCTTTAAGATGTTGGATTCATCTATGAGGAGTGATGAGTCTATGGAAGGATCAGACAGAGTAGTATTAATACGAGACCCAGCACAGGGCTCCTCTTCCCTGTGTCGAGGGCGGAATTCACAATATTGTTAATCAACCTCAGGTAATCAGGTAGGATCCACAATCAGAAAACTGCTCAGCTACGAAATCTCTGTACTTCTGTAAACAGTGTTTTGGACAAGCAGAATTTTACATTAATTTCCTCGGCTGAGAAAACAAAGGATCACACATCATATATTATATCATTCTTACCCACAGATAGCCTAAGATGATCAATAGAGAAAGCACTTATTCATAGATAGAAAAAGAAGTTTCTTCAAACAATTAGAAAGAAAAAAAGAGAAATATTTTAAAAGTCAATTCATCTGAAATCAAATCTGCTCTTCTCATTTACTAGTGTGATGGACCTTTACAGCTTAAAGGACTTAATTTATATGAGTCCCAATTTCAGTAGCTATAAAAGCAGGGCTAGCAACACTTATTTTTAGAGCTATTGAGAGGATTAAATTAACTATTCTATATGAATGCAGCCAACTCTGTATTTGAATACATAGTAGATGCTTCAAAAATATTAGCTTCCCTTTCCCTCACTCTTATTTTCTTAGGTTCCATCTCCTAAAAAGTGATAAAGAAGTGACAAAAGTATGTTTTTCTTCTCTATATTTTTGAGGGATATTTGATAGTACAGATTTTGTGTCCACGTAATTAATTTATCTCATTAAGAAGAAATGGTTCATCTAGAGATATATTATACAGCATTGTGATATATTCTTGAAAAATACTAAAACAGAGGATATTAAGCAGAAGTCACAAAAATGATGACTATGTAAATTAGCAACCATGTGAATTAGCTAAATTTATCCATTTCACAATGTATATAGATATTTCAAATACACATTTTAAAACATTATGTTGTACACGATAAAAACACAAATTATTTCTGTCAATTTAAAATAAATGAATGAAGAAGTGATCTCTGTTTATTATCATGTACTTATTCTTATCTCTCCTATTGCTTATCCCTCACTTACTAATATATATATAAAATATACATACATGATATGTAATACATATAAATATATATAAATCAATGCAAGATAAAAGTATATGCCAAACCAAATTTGTGCAAATAAGTGAAACTTACTAAAAGTATAGGTGTGACTAGGACATTCCAGAACATTGTGTTCTGTACATTTTCCCCTCTCCCATTTCTCTATCTTCTCTCTCACCATGTTTTGTTATCAGTTCTAACTACAGAAAGAGAACACATTAATTGAATATTGGAAAGGGAAAACAGGGAATGATATGACCAGAGCTGGAGGCTACACACAAGAGCCGGATCACGAAGTACAAAGCAAAAGGGTGTCAAATGAGTGGCACTGCCCTTGCCACACATGACGTTGGCACAACCTTTGAGATTTGTGGCTTGTTTTGCTTTTCCTTCACAACATAAATTTAGAATCTTTCGTCTCATTGTTCAATACGATGGTACAAAATGCTATGGCTTCTATTTGATCCTTTATAATGTAAATCAACAATTCTTTAAGCTCTTGCATAAAGGAAAATTATTAAAAATACAAAGTCTTAGCCCTTTAGACCCTTTAACTTCTCCACCATACAAATCAATTCTGCATATTCATTTGGGAACCCAAACCATTTCTTTTAACGAGATGTGCACTGTGCAGCTTTAGACTGGTAAGCTTTAGCTCGGTTTCAGTAATGCTGCTCATGCATAAAGATGTAAAACAAGGCAGTGAAGAGATACAGATACATCTTCTAAACTAAAATGCTCATACCATTCGGCAACTGCTACTCCTCATACCTCCCCCAGAGGAAATGGGAATTGATATATACATGCCACACATGAGGTAAGGGAAGCAAAAAGAAACCATGTTCATAAGTTCACTTGGGTATAATCAAGCGATAATCACATACAGAAAACAAATTGAGGAATAAGTGAAAAATTCAAAAAGCAATGTGGACAAAAAGCAAGCATATACAGACATTAAAATGAAAGGGGAAAATGCTTAGGGTAAAATCTCAGTTGAAAAGCACAACGGGGTCACTAAAACATTCAAGGGAAGATGGTTTATGTTTAGTTCAGGGACAAGTAATTAAAACCACAGAAAAAAGTGAAAAGAGGAAACAAAATTTCATACTGAGTGATGACTAGTGAGGAAGGAGGATTCATCTACTGGTAGTGCCACTCTGGAGAAATAGAATTACATCTCCCATGTATACAAAACGGGAAAAGAGTAATAGGTAGAGAGAGCAAACTAAAGACACAGAGAGGAGGCAGCTGCTGATGAAGGCAATAGTTTCTCTTTCACTCGCAGGCAGACACACACATACACATAGATATATACACATTACAGCAATATTCATGGACTAGCTGGTGAAAGTTGCAATCAGCAAGGGTATTTCTGCTTGAATGGCTTGCAGGGTGTGATTACTGAATTAAATCTAATGAGAGAGAGAAAAGAGGCAGATCATAGGACAGAGAGTGAATTATAGTGTGGGTCTCTGAAAATTATAGGAGTTGTGCACCTTGGCAGTATTAGAAAATAGAAGTACGTGGTTGTTTCTTCTTCCATTTTTTAGTGTTATATGGATATAGTTTGTGGACATTTCCTTCTGAATCACACAGAATTCCAGGAAGAATGTTTCTGAAGTGACTTCTCAGAATCCATATTTGGAATATGCTTATTGCTCTTCATATTAGCTGAACCACAGGGCTGGAAAGAATCTGGATTGGTTGAAAATAAATCAGATCGTGGCCAAAAAATATTTAAAAACATAGAAAATGCATTTCTCAGCACTGAGCTTGAATTTCTTCATGTCGTGAGCTCGACATTGACTTAGTGTAACATGTGATATGGGGCTGACAAGCTTTTGCAAGCTGGGGTATTTTCTAATCTAAAATAGATTAGGCATTTTCTGGGAATGGGAAGAAATGAGTAGATTAGGGATTGAATTCTGTTTTCTCTTTTCATCTCTTCTTTATTTTATCGTCCAATCATTCTCACTGGCATTTAAAACACACTTAATTTAGTCCTATCCTTGTAGAGCAAGTTGATGTCATCTAGTTTGATTTAGCCTATTTAGTCCAATAAGTTAATTGGTTAATAGGCCATCTGTATGCATCAGGTGACAGGAATGCTAGGATGAATGCAATCACACACACACGTTAAATAAGACGACATGGGATTGTATAAAAACAGTTCAGTTTACTCCCTATGACTGCTAAAGTAAGGTTTTCTCATTTCTGATCTGCATTGCAGCACTGCCCTTGATATTCAAAGTTCTGCTTGGTAGAGTTCACAGGCCACAGCAGTTCAGGAATTAATTTCCATAATTATCTCTCTAACTTCCTCATTATAAAAGGCATCATTCCTGAATGGCAAGAAGCCAACCTGCTGACCCCAACAGGACAATGCCCCACATGAGACACCCAGATTGGCATGTGATTCCTTTGTCTCCTTTCGGATCATGTGAGCCACCTACAGGGACGCTACATTTATTCTAAAATGGGATTATCGGCAAAAATGAGGAATAATCCTCTCTCACTGATACAGTTTGGATGTCTGTCCCCTCCAAATCTCATATTGAAATGTGATTCCCAATATTGGAGGTAGGGCCTGGTGGGAGGTGATTGGATTAGGGGAGCAGGTCCAGCACCATCCCTTGGAAATAAGTGAATTCTTGTTCAGTTATCACGTGAGATTCGGTTGTTTAAAAGTATGGGACCTCTCTCTTGCTCCTGCTGCCACCATGTGACATCTGTTCTTCCACTTCATCTCTGCCATGATTGTAAGCTTCTTGAAGTTCTCACCAGAAACTAAGCAGATGTTGGTGCCATGTTTGTACAGCTTGAAGAATTTTGAGCCAATTAAACCTCTTTATAAATTACCCATCCTCAGGTATTTCTTTATAGAAACACAAACAAATAACGTAATACAGTCACGGAAGCATCCTGGTACCGTGAACAGCATGTGGACTTCTGTAGGAGATAACCTTGAGTTAATATCCCAACTCCAAATTTACTAGTCCTGTCACCATGTGAAAGTTGGTTGCCTTGTTGGAGCCTCAGTTTATTCAACTGTTAATGGGGGATGGTGGTTTTGACCATTCAGGATTGTTATAAGGTTTAGAGATAATAAAGTGTCTCTATAGACAGTATTTTTGTTAATAAACTAAGGGCTATTTGTCGGGAAGGTTAATTTAGTTGAGATATGTAAAATAAAGTCTTCAGAGACATGAGAACTATAGAGTTAATTAATACAATGATGATATAACAAACATTTATTTCTTTGTTTGCCTTTTGCTCTTGGGTCTTAAAAAAGTAGTTACAATAATTCAAAGAAAATTTATGTAATACTTTATAGTGGAAAAAATTATTTTCAAGATATTTGGCTAATGCATCTTTTACATAGAGAGGTTCCTTTAATTATTACAAAAATTGCATGAAGTAGCTAGTCATTTTAATTTTCACTTATCAAATGAGTATACTGAGACTCATAGACAGGTCACCTATTAGAGTTGAAACTGAAATCCTGGTCATTGGACATCTGATGCCAAATATGCTAAATGACATCATACCAACACTTTGGTGGAAACCCTAGCTTCAAAAAACTCCCATGAAAACAATAGATCTTCATCAGTCTATTGGGATCATATGTGAATAAGGGAATGGTAAGAGGCAGAATTGGAGATAATTGGAGCAGACTTTGTACCGAAAGAAAATGATGAAGTATATGAAAGGATGTTCCAAGAAAAGAGAATGCCATGAACTGTTAATATAGAAAGGAAAAAAAAAAAAATTCTATGTGAAGAGAACTGAATTCCATTAGGCAAACCAGGGCCAAGCCAACAGGTATTAGAGACAAACTCAATGGAAGGAAGTATAGATCAGTGGGCTTTTGTGACCTTGCTGAGAAGTGTGAACTTGGTAAAGTAGGCAAGTGAAAGTCCCTGCCAAGTCAGTAATTTTTTTCTTTCATTTATTTATTCATCTATTCATTTGTTTCTACATTCACTTGCATATCTAAGAATGAATAGAAATGGTTACTGTGTCCCAGACATACTGCTGAATGTTATGT
Source organism: Homo sapiens (assembly GCF_000001405.40). Lineage (NCBI taxonomy): Eukaryota > Metazoa > Chordata > Mammalia > Primates > Hominidae > Homo > Homo sapiens. The sequence goes on from NC_000003.12 coordinate 117,703,529, forward strand.
ATAAAAGAAGAATAACAGACAGGCCAGGCCACAAGAAATTTAAACTGCAGTGAGGTGACAAACGTGTGAATACTATTTCACTGGTCCCAAAAGGGGCAGAATGAGGGGTTATAGTCTGTGAAGTGATTGGGAGGACTTCAGAGAGGAGTTAGTATCTGACCTGGATTACAGAAGATGATTCAAAGTGCTCTGGGGGCCAGAGCTTATGATCATGGATAACTGGTTTGGAATGGACAGAACGTGTGCTAGATGCCAACACTACAATCCAGAAGTGAAGTGATTAGGACCTAGGGTAGAGTTATGGCTGGGGAGATGAATTTTAAAGGGGGAGATTAGTAACATTTAGTAACTGATTAGATTTGGAGGTCAAAGAAAAGGGAATAATTGAAAAATTGATGGTGATGAGACTGGTGCATTGAGAGGATCGTATGAAATTATTAATGATTAAGAGATAGGGCAGGACTGACAGTGCTGCTCCTCAGTGCTTCCATCACAGCTCTTCTCCCCGTCCAGAAAAAAGCTCCTAGACCTTAAAAGCCACTGCATAATTTTTACTTTCATCTGTCTCTTCTGAATACAATTAATGAGCATGGGGACAAGAAGAGACCGAGAAGGAGACCGTGTCCTGGCCCCTATCAGGCACTCAATTGATGTTTGTTCAGTTGAATCTAGTCTGAGAGGTGGGAGGCAAGGACATCACTGATGACAACTCAGAGGGAATTCTGAGCAGCAGCACAGAGTTTCGCTGGAAGCGGAGACTCGTGGACCTCTGAAACCCTCCAGAATGGAGCCTCAGCACCTCCAGTAAGTGGGAAGTTTAGGACAAGTGAGTTCATGTCTTTTTGTCTCAATGTCCTTATCTATACATTGGAGAGCATAGTACTCTTCACCTGACGGGATACTAGGAAAAATCAGTAAGGTAGTTAAATACTTCAGTGACTTAACTATACATTTTAAGTGTTAGAACAGCATCTGATGCATAGTAAGTGTTCAAAAAGTTTTGTTTTTATTAGTTACTAAAGAACATATTTTTAAAGGCAAAGTAAAGAGTTTTTTAAAAATGAGAGCTGAACGCAGGCACTGGATATGATTTCAGAGAAAGCCAGTTTAGTTAGGAGGTAACCATGGAAGCCTGGTTTTGAAGTCAAGAAGGAAGAGATGGTGAACTAAATGAGACATCAAATGGAATATACATAAGTCAAGCCTTGGAGTATGGGGCAAACTTCACAAAAACAAGGAAAATACATTCTGTACATGGCATGTATAAGAATAAGAGCTCATCATTAAGTTGCTCCATTTAAATAAAAGAAATAGTAATAGAGAACTCAGTTTACAGTTATCAAAATGCCAATAAGATCAAGACTATACAAAACGAACAATAGCATTCACATGAGAAATTGATAATGTCACAATTCTGGAAGCAAGCCTAAGTCCCTGCGCTTCAGATAATAATGGGAAAAGCCACACATGTGATGTGCATTCATGCAATTGAGTCCCAGAGGAGTCACAGCTAAACTAATCTTAAGGTCTGTAGTCCCTTTCCAGGTACTCTCCAAAATGATCTCAAATATTTTCCCTCTTTCCTGCTGACAAAATCTAAACGATCTAAAAGCATCTCCAATGAGTACAAGAGGAAAGAACAGAACTGTTAGCAAATGTGCATTTGAGCTTCACACTCCCAGGGTTTTCGAAGTAATAAAAACCAATTAGATAACACTCAGCAGCTATAGCGAGAGAAAGCAGTGCAATCTTACCACTACTAATAGGGTTTTTAATAATAGATAGGTTTCTCTCAGCAGAGCTGGAGTTGGAAGTAGCAGAAGTATCAATTGCACAGCATTCTGCTGACCAATACTCAATGCAAAAATTAATGCAGTGGCTTTGTCAGTTTAAACTGGTCAGTTAGAGGCAGGGACCATTGGAACCCTGCAGAGGTAAGAAATGCAAGAAACAGGAAATCAAGTGTTCTGTTTAGATGTTATAGGTTAGGTTACAATCTACTTCAGGAGGAACTCAAGGAGGTCCGGATCTAAAGAATTTAAAGGTACAACTTTAGGTTAAATTCTTCAAGTCAAGGAATGCTGGAAACTTTGATGCTATGAAGTTTTTGACTTTCTAAGTAGAGCAACTTCTATCTGCAGGTGGAGTGCTAATGTACACATCTTCTTTCATATTAGATGGTAACCAAATAACTATAAGCTGTCTTTGTTTTTGTTTTTTTTTTACCATATTCACTATTCAGAAAAATTATTTGCCTAATGCTTCTTTGCTTAAAACACAAAGTATGCACAAAGTATTTGTTCTGTTGTCATAGAAACCATCATTAAAATAATTCACCAATGCTACTTAATTCATCATTCCATCGTCCCTTCAAAACTGTCAAAAGAGGACTCTATAAAAAGAGGGAAATGGTATCTTAGAGGAGGTAAGGAATTAGGGAGGGGCTCAGAATAGGTTCTTTTGAGAGGTTCCTGCACACCAACGGGCAATAGCTCCATCGCTTCTAGCTCATATGCTTTTCTTTCTTTTCATCCACACCATTCTTTTAAGTATAATCATTTAGGTTTTTAGGCATTTCCTCAGGGTGTGTGGTTATAGTGCAAATTTTGTATGATCAGATCAGGCTTGTGAATAATACATTTGTCTGTGAATAAACTCCCCAGGGCATGTCCTCCTGGCTGAGTCTCTGTAATGAAGCATTTGACTGTAATTCACTTAAGAATGTGAGAGATGTAAACATATGTGGGTGGAGAGAGTGTAGAAAAGACTTGAAAGCACTGTGCAACTATTTTCTCCTCGGGATTCAGTGTTGCATTCAAATGCTGCTTAGAGAAAGCAGCTGTTGGTTGTTATGAGGTTACTCATAATAGCCTTTCAGAGCAAAGGGGAAAGTGAATTGACACTGACCAAAAATACTGGGTTGGGTAAAATAACCACATGGAAAAGTGATGGGTTGCAGTCCAGAGAGCTCACTTCTAGTTCTGCCCCTGACAAATTCATGACCCAAGATAGCACATTTCACGCCTCTGAACAGTCCCATCTGCAACGTGAAGCATCAGAATTATTCTCAAAGGTCCTTCATAACTTTAACATTTTTTGACTACACATCTTTTATGCCATTTATACTAAAGGTTTCTGCAACTTCTTGAGATATGTTAGACTGTTCACAAGGTTTCAGGGTTTTTCCCAGTTCGGTCAAAAACATGGAGGAGTCTGAACATTTCTGACGTTGGTTTTGCATTAAAACTGGCAGAGGGTGGGGGAAGTTAAGGGGAGTTAAGAGTCTCACTAGCCTAGTGTTTCCTAAAGGTGCTAGATTATACACAGTAATAGAAGCATTTACTTAAAATATAAATCCTGAAGACTTTCCACTGGAAGCATATTACTCAGTAGGACCCTGGGGATTGGTATGTCAACAAGAACTCCACATGAATTTTGTGCTCATGTCAAAATTCTCATGTGGGATTCTGGCCTTGACTTGAATTCAGAGAAAGTGCTGATTATTTGATGTCTGTCACTTTCATTAAATAGAAATGAGGTGGTTCTTAAACGTGATGTAAGGTCAGATGTATGTGGTGGATATAGCTTTTTTGTTTTTTTTCCTTCTGGGTCCCCACCCTGACCCAAGCTATGAAACTTATGTTTTTCAAGTTCTTATGGAGAAGTCTGACCCCTGCAGACCTCATAGAGGGTAAAGCCAGATCCACTTGTGAAGCCAATAAACTTACTTCTTAGGAAGCCCAAACAAAACGTGGAAATTCAAGACCAAAAGAGAAGCTGCAGCTCTGAAAGGAAGTTGAGTTCCAAGAAAACTTTAGGGAGCTGGATAACTGCCTTCGGAGGGATGTATTTAACATCCTTTCCTCACATCTGCTACTTTTTATGTTTGTCCCAGTGAGTACTCTCTTCTACTAGTCAAGATATTAATAATTTTTTGTCACTGAATTCATGCAGGTATCATTTTGTGCCCAACCACTATCATGATACAGTACCCCAAGATTCATGTGTAAAGATGATTTAAATATTTTATCCTTTATTACTTGTTGCTCCAAATTTTTTTTTTCAATCTAAAGGAGTAATTGATACAAATCCAGTTAATTGGGTGGATGGTGAACTAGATGCATTGACAATACTCCAACCATTTTTATTTTAACTTGTAATCCTTTTAAGTGACTTTCTGATTTAAGTTAATTTCCTAATGGGAATTATTCACACAAACACTTCCCCAAATTACTGAGTTTACTGTCCCTTCTTGAGACAGTAAAAGAAATTCAGTAACCTAAATGTTCATGCCTTCTTACTAGGAAGACTTTGGGAAGAGCAGTTGCTGCTGTCACACTCATTATCCTTTAAGAAATAAATATGGAAAGTGTGTTTACTCTGCTAGGTGTTCAGAACCCTCCCTCAAATGAATAGTTGCCACTTTTGTAATGTACAAGTACTTTTAAAGATGATCTAACAAGCCATGAATATAACTAGGCTTTTCGCCCATCGTTTTCTTTCAGAAATCCGCTGTGTGGGCCATTGCAAACCAAAAGGTTGTTTGTGATTGGTAGACTACAGATGAAAATATAAAGTTATAAAAAATCAACTTGAACTTAATTTTAATATAGTTACAGATGAGAATTTGGTATGAAAGCTTATATATATAAATTAATGAAAATTTTACAGAGCATGTTATTTTCTGTTGTGCTATCTGAATACTATTTGAAAAACTATTAAAAATAAAACAATAATTTCCAAGTTTCATATTAAATTTAAAGTGTTAAAAATATCTAAGTTGAAATATCAGCTGTGAGGTATCACAGATTGGTGCAATGTTACAGTTTGGGAAAGACCAGTAAAGGACTAAGCTGTTATTGTTTGCAGGTGTTCCTCCTACCCTTATTCCCTACTTTATGATGATGAGAAATATAAACCAGTGGAAGGTTGAACATTTCCTTATTTTAATGGGAATTAAACTTTACTTCCCGCTGAGGACTACAAACAATGTTAAAAGAATTGAGGCAAAGTTTTGTTTGTTTTAAGTAGGAAATCATTGTGCCTGTTTTCACTGTGAACAAGTTTACCAGCCATGTTATTTTCAAGTTGTATCTATGCACCATTGCAGGACGTACCTCTTTCCAAACAACAGCAGCCCGAAATCGGGAGAGTTAGACAGACTCTCCCAAATTTGTAAAACTCTGGACAAGGAATGATTATGTTTCACCCAGCTAGTAGGTAAGACATTTGATGACACACATTCTCTAAATATCAGTTGAGTCACCCCTTTCCTGTTTGTGTGCTATTAAGACTTTGAGGTAAGCCCTGTAGAGTCTAGGGGTTGGGGAGGGAAGAGAGAGGAAATGGATTTTGGTATCAGACATATCTGATGTAAATCTTTGGCTTGCTAATTAAAAGACTGAATGAACTAAGGCAAGTTATTTGAATTTTTTGATTCTCAATTTCCTTGTTGTTATAATTTCAAAAAGTAATATTAGAATAATACCTACCCTGAGTCCTTGGATCCAGTAAACCCTCAAAAAAATATAGTAGTAGCTACCACCATGACAACTACTGTACTCCTACCACAATTTTATTTCAATATGAATTATTATTATCACTATATGCAACCTTACCTTTCTTCATAATATTTTTCCCATATGATTTATAACCCAGGCAGAAACTATCTTCCCACACATGCATAATCACATTGTCACTTGTCCCTGCACGTACCAGCAAATGCTTAGCAATTGTGAAAGGGCAATTTCTCTATCACTCAATAATTCTTTGCCTGTTAGAATGGACATAGTTGAAGAGCAATCTGTACTATGGTATTGTATACAGCAGCTGGTTTTTTTTTCAGGCATTTACCGAAAAGCTTTAGAAGTAATTCCTTAAGCTAACAAGATCCTGAACATGGAGCTGTTATGAAAAGCTCAGTGGCTCTCACCTCACCAAGGCTGGAGGAGAGAGGTGTGTGTCAGGACTTGGAATGAGGCAAGACATAATGGAGGAAATCCTTTGGGGTCAGTCACTTTTCCCCAGCACCTCATTAAGTCTGTATCAGAGGAAAAAAAGGTTCAAAGACACTTTTAGAATACTAGCCTTTTTATCTGAAAATAGGCCTCATGTAGGGAAGGAAAAAACAGCTTAAGCTAAGCAAGATAAGTAAGTCTTAGAGATCTATAGTGTCTATAGGTAACAATACTGCATTGTAAACTAAAAAATTTGCTGAAAGGGTGGGTCTTATGATAAGTGCTCTTATAATCTTATTGATTACATTAATAATCAATAAAGTGAGGTGGGAGAAAACTTTTGGAGAGAATGGATATATTTATAGCATGGATTGTGGTGATGGTTTCATAGTGTGTACCTATCACCACATTCATTAAGTTGTATACATGAAATATGTTCAGATTATCATGTGTCAATCGTAACTCAATAAAGTAGTTTAAAAAGAGATGAGTTTAAACTTAAGTTCCTTGTGTGAAATCAGGTAAATTAAAACACAAATATAAAGAAAACATAAAAAAAGTATTAGTTCAACAAGCTTGATGCTTCTCACACTCCGCTTTTCCTGTCTACTTTCATTTCCTTAATCTTCTTCCTTTAAGAATTAACCAAACTGTATGTTCCAGTGTGGAAACTCTGGAACTTGTGTGTGGTAGGAACAGATTTGAAACACAGTCCCCGTCCGCAAGCTCCGTCCTCCCTTTCTCCACTCCTAGACTGTTTTCTGGGTCCCTTTCCCTTTCCTACTCTTGGTTTGCTTCTCAGGCCTCTCTTTTCTCTTTCACAGCCTGGTTTACGACATTTTATGCTGCTATAACAGAATACCACAGACTGGGTAGTTTATAATGAATGACATCTATTTGGTTCACATTTCTAGAAGCTGAGAAGTCCAGGATCAAGGGGCCACTTCTAGTGATGGCCTTCTTGCTGCATCATCCCATAGTGGAAAAGCAAAAAGAGGGTGAGAAAGAGCAAGCAGTAGAACTCACAGCCTCAAGCCCTTTTATAATAGGCATTAATCCATTCATGGGGGTGGAGTACTCATAATCTAAAAACCTCTCATTAGGTCCCACCCCCAACACTGTTGCATTGGAGATTAAGTTACCAATAAACACTTTTGGGGAGACATATTCAAACCATAGCACAGCCCATGCTGACAGCCTCATAAAAATAAATTCAACAGCAGATGTGCCATAGGCTCTTACAAAATGCTGGTCACAATAAACTGGCTGTGGCACAAAAAAAAAAGAGAGAGAGAAAGAGAGAGAGTGAGAGAAAGAGAGAGAGAGAAGAGCAGTTTAGATTATATTGATGAACCTTGGTTATAGTGATATAGATGGCAAACCCTACCTACCTACAGATCTAGGGATAAACGAGTGTGCAGTGCAAAATTGTAGTAACCACAGAGGCCATTTCTTGCAAATTATTTGAGCACACGATGGGAAATGTTCAGGAAGGCTAGGGATGCAATGAGATGGTGCAATGAGAAACTTTAAATTTCAGAATGAACAATGGTATCTACTTTTTTGTTTTTATTATTTTATCTTATTTTATTTTTAGTCTTGAGACTGAGTCCCGCTCTATTGCCCAGGCTGGAGTGCAGTGGCGCGATCTCAGCTCACTGTAACCTCCGCCTACCAGGTTCAAGCAATTGTCGTGCCTCAGCCTCCCGAGCAGCTGGGATTACAGGCATGCACCACCACACCCGACTAATTTTTGTATTTTTAGTAGAGACAGGGTTTCACTATGTTGGCCAGGCTGGTCTTGAACTCCTGACCTTAAGTAATCCGCCCACCTCAGCCTCCCAAAGTGCTGGGATTACAGGCGTGACCCACAGCGCCTGGCTGGTATCTACTTTTTAACTATGGAAAAGGGCACATTTTTCCCCCCTTCAGAATTGTCTGAGTCATTCCTGAGAAAGGTTGAGAGAAATCTGAGTAGGATGGCAGCCTAAATGTCACAAGCCTGGCCCTTTATACCCAAAGATCTTATTTAATTCCTCAAGAGCTGAGTCTACTTTAATGCAGAGAAACAGGAAGTGTATGGGTTAAGAACAGATACTGTGAGATCGAATGCTGAGTCCAATTCAAGTTCCATCTTGGGCAAGTTATACTTAATCACTCTATGCCTCAGTATCTCATCAGTAAGAATAGTACCTACTTCATAAGTTTGTTCTAATACATAAGTCAGTTAATATACAGAATTCTCCCCTCAGCACCTGAGATATAGAAAATGCTTAAATACATATCTGTATTGTATAAGCTATTATTAGATGCACACAATTTATTTGAATTTTTATAAATGGAACAGATAATTTCTTTTACATTCTCTAACTGCTCATTTTCCCAAGGTAGGGGGTGGGATTCCTGTCTTCCTATCGCTAGAAGGTCCTTTTAAAGAAGTGTCTGTTTTTGGGCCCAAGCACCTACCTCTTTCTGACTTTTAAGTAATAAGCAAACTGTTGTGTACACTGAGGAATCTCTAGCAGCCCATAAGTACTTAGAATTTCATAGTTTAAGAAAAGTAGGAGGATGACATCTGTCAGTGATGGAGACATGGGCCAAGGCAGGTAATCATAGAATTTGGATGACTTCATTGTATCAGCAAACCTTAGGGTGGCATTTTTCTCTCAACCAGTAAACATACTACCTGATACATGACCATATGAAAAGATAAAAGTATGTTCATAAATACTGCATCGAATTTTAAAGCTTAATTTAAGAACTCTTTTCTTTTTAACTTTCTGCAATGCTAAACTAGTTCTTCCAATATAAGTAGAGACATTAGCCTGAGCCGAAGCCCAGAGATAGCAATGTCTCTACTTGAAATAGCCTCCTCTTTTTCTGCACCTAGACCTTCAAATGCATGTAGAACGTAACCAGTGATAATTATAGCCACGTGACCGCCAAAGCTCTCACACTGACATGACAGCGTTGTGTTTAATTCTTAGAACAATTTTATGAGGTAAGTACTGCTGTTATCACTGCCATACACACGAAAGAGGGGTGTTGTTATCACCTCTCTACTCATTTATTGTCTTTCTGTTTTTCTTGTGGACAACTTTATTAATAATTTCTTTCCACATGAAATAAATTAACGCATGTTTTATTATGTTCTGTGATTGATCTATCTTCCCATTTTACCTTCTGAGAAACAAAATTAAGTACTTACCATTGCTAGGTAGATATTAAAGGCAGTATAATTTCTTTTTAAAGACTTAAAATTATCATTAATTCAGGATATAAAAACTAAACACTGTTCTCACTTCCAAAAGATGATGGATGTCCATTGGGGAATACAACAAATATTTTTCTATGTAGCATTTGAGAAGGGGTAAGAAAAAAATTTGGAAGGATAGGCCTCAGCCAAATGGAAGATAATTGACATTTTCTTTTAGGAGTTGTTAATTAAAACAACATTAAGTATTCTCCCACAATCTTTTGTCAGTCAATAGGATAGGCCACTAGAACTGCCACTGAGGGGCCCATCAAAACCTATAACATTCTCCCAGAGTAGCTAATTACAGCCATTTTAAAAGGTTTCCAATGCACTCACCAACATTTTTTTTTTAAGAATTCACTTCTATAAAACATTAAAATGTTAACAACCTGCCATAGAGAAGATGCTATGTAGAAGCATTCAATCAACATCCTGGAGCAATGTCCAGTCATCGTTATGTTATATAGGTCAAATCCTGTTTTTAAAAGGCATATAATGAGATCCAATTATATGTAAGAATATAATATATGACAAAGAAAGCATCATAAAACAGTAAGTACAGAAAATGTAATTAGATAAATGATGCTGAGGAAATTGTTTAGTATTTTGCTTAAAAAAGAAGATACCTACTTCATACCATTTGTCCGAATAAATTCTTTTTTAGGTAAAGAGGGATCAGAATATGCAATTTTTATCACATCTTTGGAAGAACTTTACAGTTGCTAAAATGTCCAAAGAAAGAAAGAAGTCAGGTTATTTTTCTACATAAAATTAAACTCCTAAGAAAAATTAAAGTATAACATGGAAAAAATATAACAGACACAATTAAATGATTAAGATCTATATTATATAAAGGTCTCACCAATTTAAATAAGAAAATAAAATCAAGATATCAATAGCTAAAGGAAAAAAGGTTAATAAGAAAGAATAAATTATATAAGAAGAATTACAATTAAGTTACTGAAAATGGTAAACCAGATACCTCAAACAGAAGTCTATATTAAACTGACGTATAAGCTTATACTAATGAAAGAATGAAGAAGAAATAATTCAATAATTGAAAGGCAATGTTAAATCTGGCATACTTGTGAACTGCTACTGACAATCTGGTGCCATCCCTTGGGAAAATATTTTTCTCTATAATTCAGGTAGCATAATAGTCTTCAAACCCTTTGGCCATACCCAGAAATTCGTTCTACAGGAAGTATATTAAAATACATATATACATAAATAGAAGTATATTTACAAAAATTTATGTAATGTTATTTATAAAATGAAGAACAGGAAGAAATGTACATATCTAACATGTACACTGTTAACATGGGGGATTGATTTAGCAAATTATAAGCACATACATAATTGAAAGAGCATTCAAGGAGAATAAGCCATTATATGAAGAAGTGCTTATGGTTTAATGGTAATAATAAATATGGAGTGGAAAAATAACGATGATCAGTCCTGGAAAAGATACAGAAAACGAGAACTCTATTTTTTTAGAAGATATAATTCTGGTTTTCTCCATTTTAAAGTCTACGTTGTTGCAACAGTTTTATAGCAACCCCTGGGACACAGATCCAATACGGGACCATTGCCTGTTAGGAACCAAGATGCACAGCAGGAGGTGAGTGGAGCAGCAGGTGAGCAAGCATTACTGCCTGAACTCCACCTCCTCTAAGATCAGCCATGGCATTAGATTCTCATAGGAGTGCAAACCCTACTGTGAACTGCATATGAGAGGGATCTAGGCTGCATGCTCCTTATGAAAATCTATGTAATGCTTAACAATCTGATGTGGAACAGTTTTATCCCGAAACCATTCCCCCTCCCATCCATGGAAAAATTGTCTTCTACAAAACTGGTCCCTGGTGCTAAAAAGGTTGGGGACTGTTGGTATAGATGGAGTTTTCCTTGGAGGAGATTTTACTATAAATAAAATCTTGCTAAATGCATTGTTCCCAGTGTGTTGGTATCCCTGATGACAAAAGAGGGTGGAATTCTAGGCTCTTTCCATCCAAAATTGGTAGTATGGTAGGTGAGATGTTTGATGTGGGATATTGTTTACGAAACAATACATTATTCTCTACTGGACCAATCATAGCTCCATATCTTCTGACTACATTTTACTTTGTAAGGAATGAAATACATAAAAAATTCTCTGCAAAAAGCACACAATCAAGTAATTTCATCAGTCAAAGAAAGGAAAGGCAATTGTATTGATCAAACCAAATTTATCATTGAAAGTTTGTTACAACGCTAAGCTATCCACACATAGTTATGAACAGGGACTGAGAGATGAACACAATACATAGTATTTTTTTTTTTTTTTTTTTTTGAGACGGAGTCTCGCTCTGTCGCCAGGCTGGAGTGCAGTGGTGCCATCTCACTGCAACCTCCACCTCCCAGGTTCAAGTGATTGTCCTGTCTCACCCTCCTGAGTAGCTGGGGCTACACGCGCACGCCACCACGCCCAGCTAATTTTTGTATTTTTAGTACAGACAAGGTTTCACCATGTTGGCCAGGATGGTCTCGATCTCTTGACCTTGTGATCTGCCCACCTCGGCCTCCCAAAGTGTTGGGATTACAGACGTGACCCACTGCGCCCAGCTCATGTTATCTTTAAATAGGAAACACACCATTTATTGTTTGAGTTAGATTTTTATCCATAGAACTTGGAAGACATTTGTCATATCTTATTTCTGGAATAGAATCAATGAATTATTATAATAGTCAACATTTATTATTTAGTGTGTGCCAGTCACTGTAACACTTTATATTTACTTTGTTATTAGTGACAGCTATCTGATTATACAGATAAGTATACTGAGGCACACAGAAACTAAATACACCTTAGCTACACTGCTTATAAGAGGCAGAACTGAGAATCCATTTAGTCTTTTATCGAGCAGCTAATAATCTATAAAGTACCATGCTCTTCTTCCTCTCCAACAGTGTTTTATTTAAAATCATATAGTGCAGCTTATCTAGTATCCATAACATCTAGGATTTTATTATGCTGACTTTTAAAATAGTTAATTTCGCCTTTATGGACACTTCTGTGGTACTTTACTGAACAATATCTTACCTCGCCTACTTACTACACAATATTAACATAGTGAGACCATCCAACCCAAGCCTTCATTGTGCATGAATCCCAACCACATCAACTTTCAACTGCTTCTTGACCTGATAGTGTAAATAGCATGGTGGAAGGTATATAACCTCTGGAGCCACAGAGCCTGAGGCTAAAAACTCTCTCCATTATTGACTGCATGTGTACTCTTGGCAAGAGGATCTTTCTAAAACTCAGTTTCCTTATTTGTAAGATGGGAATAATAACATCACAAAGTTGTAGACTTGTAGTGAAGATTAGATAAGATAATAAATATAAAGTATCTAGCCTACTGTCTGACATGCAATAGCACTCAATATTTGACTAAAATTTCTGAACTTAATCATTTGTTGAACACATATGTATTGCCCCTAACTTGTTATAAGCCACAGTTGTGGGAGGAGATGGAGATATAGCTGTGAAAATGATAAGTGAATCCTCTGCCCTGATGGAGCTTAGATTCTCTTTAGGATAACATGGTAGAAAATAGAAATTATTCTTGGGAATAAATCAGGAAGCACATATTCAATTCGCAAGTTTACTTGTTTCAGTAGACAACTGCTCTGATGTATGAGATAGCACTAATATTCAATAACAACCATTAGATAATGAGGTGAACCATTTATTGAGACTGGAAGTGTGAACACAGGCATAATCTAATGATATGTTAATTGTTGTTGGACATTTGCTGGTTCATAGAAATTCACCTTGTCACCCATACAAATGTCATTTGTTATAGCCTGCAAATTTCCATTTAGGCAGGGATTACTTCTAAACCAGTGTACAACTCCTTGTAAGTAATTAATAAATATTCATGATGCTGATATTGCTGTTAATGATGACAGATCTTGTAGACTAGAATGAGTATTTTAAAGATGAGTATGTTAATCTTATAAGACAGGGACATTCTAATATCTTCTAATATTGATTCCAATATCCCAGGAGGCTTATAATTCTTTAACATATACATATATATTTACTTGTACCTTTGAGAAATAGGGAGTGATGTCCCTGTAAGTATATGCATCAGTTTGTATTTTAAATATTTATCTACCGACCATATATAATTTTAATGCCTAACATAATTTATGTATAAGCACTTGGAATTACTGTTCTTCTGGACATGGGGAGATTCAATTTTTATTTTTGATTCTGCAAAAAGACTTTTTTTAGTTTGAATCTTCATACTTACTCACATGGTTTCACTCACACACACACTTAACACCAATATTTATCGAATGCCTACTATGTTCCAGGCACCATCCTGGGCCCTGAGCACACAGTAGCAAAGAAAACAAATATTCCTTCTTTCATACATTTTCATTCCCCTGGGGAAGACAGACAACGAATTTGTATAAAATGCATAAATAACTGAAAATTTTGAGATTCTGTGAAAAATGATCAAGATATTGTGATAAAATTTGGTCAGGAAAAGCCATTTTGAGGATTTAAAACAATTATTAACAAGATCTGAGAAAGGAGAATAAGGCTCATGTGATAAAATATGGGGAAAGAAACATTTTAAACAGAAGGAAGAGCATTTGCAAACCCCAATGGAAAAAAAGAGGCTGATATGTGCTTGCAGTTTAATGAACAAGGGAGAAAGTGATTTAATGAAAGAATAAGTGAAAGAATGAATTTGACAATGCTTTTTCGATTAGCATTGCCTGAGTTAGTAGCTCTTCACAAGTGTGGAATCCACTAGACAGAGCCCATATCCTCTCGAAGATGAGAAAGTCTAGGAGACTCAAGCCAGGTTGAGAGACTCAAGCCACTGTGAGACTTCTCACATTCCTTAAGCTTTCTTTCACAACTTCTGCATCCCTGCTGCATCCTTTTTCTCTCTGTATATGGATGTTCTTCTTCTATGACAAACTGATTGACCCATTTGATATGGTTTTGCCATGTCCCCATCCAAATCTCACTTGAATTGTAGCTCCCAGAATTCCCATGTGTTGTGGGAGGGACCTGGTGGGAGACAGCTGAATCACGGGGGCGGTTCCCCATACTGTTCTCATGGTAACGAATAAGTTTCATAAGATCTGATGGTTTTATAAATGGGAATTCCCTTGCAAAAGCCCTCTTGCCTGCCGCCATGTAAGACATGCCTTTGCTTCTCCTTTGTCTTCTGCCATGATTGTGAGGCCTCCTCAGCCATGGAACTGTAAGTCAATTAAACCTCTTTCTTTTATAAATTACCCAGTCTTGTGTATGTCTTAATTAGAAGCATGAGAACAGACTAATACACCATTCCTTTCCCATTGGACTCACAACACATTTTCATGGGGATATCTTCTATTATAAATCGAACATCACCTTAGCATTATGGTGTTATTATTTTATTCCTTTCAGCACATATGCACTTTACACAGTGTCTGAATTTAGCTACATATCATTTTGAAAGTGCTCATGAGATTTTTGTGTGCTGAACTTTGTAATGTTTGATAAATTATGAGGTTTTGGAGGCAGGATTTTGACCATCGTTACCCAGTTCAATGGTCAGCACAGAGGGAGAAATGCCAATTCTTGGCGTCCCTAGGATTTACTACATAGATGGACAAATTGATAAAGAGATAAAACTAGAGTTATTAAATATATATACATATATTCACCTTACATGTATAGTGTGTTCATATATAGTATATATTTACTAAATACATATATCTATATGTACAGGTAGTATGAGTATATTTACTCATATGTATCTATTTTTAATCTATCCATCCATCCATTCGTCTGTCCATCCTTTCATCCATTTTTTAGATAGATATAGTAAAATGGTGGAGGGGATACCAACAACAATCAGCACTTAATTTGGGAGGATTCCTTATCAGAAATCTTATGAAAGTGAATGTAAAAATGGGCTTTGGAAATGCTAACTTTTCTGCTGATTATTTGCAAGCTTGAATTCCTATTGATAATGGGAGTGAAAACATAGGGCGACTTGAAGAAAGGGCTTGAGGGCAGTGTGAATAACAAGCAAACATCGGTGAGTGCATGGGAAGAAAACAACTCTGGAAGAGGTGGTCTGCTACGGAGACTTTTCTCACCTTTTGCTGGGGAATGGAGAGAAGAGCGGAAATGCCAACACTATTGAAATGTGAGAGAAGGCAGGTAAAAATGCTGCTGGGACCTCTGCTACCCTCCCTAAAATCAGGACTGCAATGCTTATGGGCATCCAGGAGGCAGTTTTTGTGCCTGGCAGGCCCTGTTGGGACTGAGCTAAAAGGAGAAGAAAACATTTTCTACAAGGCAAGTGCGATCGGCTTCTTCCCAAACAAGTCACTGAATAATTTAGAAAGAGTTAGACTGAAGAGTTGCAGGCTGTTGTTATACCAATTCTATTAGTTTCATGCAATTCCTTGGACTTGTTTAAACACAGGAAATATGTTAAGAACCTCAAGAAACACAAATCAGTCCTATTTTCACACTGTGTGTTCTGATGCTTGTTAAGATATACTTATCAACTTAGTGCTAGGTAAATATTAAATAACAGTTATCAATACACATAAGCAAAACCAAACATGTGTCATTTAGAAACAAGATACAGAGATTTAACAAAATGCATTTAACAAATTTTAGAGTATGTGTGTTCCATTTTGTTAACAACAAAACAACTCACTAATTTTTAATAGACATTTTGATGGGTAAAAGGCTTTTTGAGACCCCTGCTGACAGCAGAGGAGAACTGCATCCAGATGTTCATTACTTACTAGAAACTGAATACCTAATTCTCCTCATTAACTGAGACATCATAAATATGTGTCATTTTTGAGATGTGGAAGATACATTCCTATAAGATAAACATATAAATGTAAATTATTGAAAGAAGGCTATTTACATAGGGGTTTTTTTTGCTTAAGGTTTATAGGTCTCTTAAAATTGCTACATGTGTTACATAATTTCAAATTCATATTTTGGTTTATTTTTTAAAAGCATGAAAACTATAGAACTCTTCAGAAACGTATCTATTGTGAGAAAAAGAATACTTAGAATTTTCAAAGATGCGGTATTCTAATAAAAAATAACAATGCTAATTTTATCTGAAAAATACATGTACCTCAATAATTTTATCAAGGGCATGTTTTGTGCTAGATACTACTCTTTATGTTAGGAATATAAGCAATTGTATAAGATACTTACAGATTGCAGTAAGTGGTAAAAAATATAACATGAAGAGGGAATAGTGATGAGAAGGTAACTATATAGGGGAGTGGTCAGGGAGTGCTTCACTGAAGATGTAAAATATGAACTGAAACCTATATCCTGATTTAAAATAGCTTTGCAGATGTTTTAGGTAAATAGCAGCAAGCGAACAATACCAAAGGTAAGAGCAGAAGGTAATCATGTAAACATAAAGGTTGGATATAATAGAAATCAAGCGTGGCTCAGCTTCCACTAGGTATACAAATTGGGTCTTTGTGTTCTCCTCTCTTAAAGGCAGCTAGATGTGTAAAAAAAACTCAGGGTCTTTGAAATCAGACAAACAAAACTTGAGAACAGTCCTTAGGCTACCCTTAATAAACCTGTGACAAGTTTCTGAACCTCTCTTAGATAGCTGTCTCATCGGTAAATTATTGAAGACTGTACCTACTCAAAAGGTTTTTTTGATAATACAAAAAACATACACTGATATGCTATGTGAAATGCCTAAGTATAGTAGGTGCTCAGTAATTTTTCATTATTCTTTCCTTTGATTCAAGGGTTCCCTGGGACTCACCTCACTAGTAAGTCTCAGCTCGGCTGTGAGAGTCAATGAGATGTAGTGGAGTAATGATGTCCAGAGGGCAGGCAGGCAGTTAGGTGTGAAGTTGAGTTAGCGAATACCCAAGAACAAAGATGCCACTTTAGTCCTCTTTGTAAACCCCAGGTCTAACATAGGGCCTGACATAGAGTAAGGATAAATAAAAATGAGACTCAGAAATAACTAGCTCTGGTTAATCCACAAAAGATATTATATGGCCCTAAATTCAAGTGAAAAAATGACCAAGACTTAATGATTTCAATGGTTCCCAAACACGAATGATCTGTGAGACTATGACTTCATTGCTTTGAGCTGTGGAAACAATGATATGGGTAAGTCATGTACCAGCACAAATCCTTAAGAAATGACTTTTGCTAAGAGGTAGTTTATAATTGATCACAGAAAGCTATGCCTATTTGAGCATACCTACAGGTAATTAGCTAAACGTTTCCCAAATGCTGCCGTGTGATGATAAAGGAAAACAACCTTGAAATATTTTTGTGATGGCAATTGCTTTCTGATGTAAGGGAACTTCCTTTATGTTGAGATGGTGTTGTTCCTATATTTTGAAAATAAAACTGCCCTTTCATTCAAGAAATTTAGTGATAGTAAATGGGATATTTTATTAAATTTATTTGGAAAAATAAGAAACTGGCAACTCATGGGGAGAACATCAATTTTATTTAATGTGATATCCATCCCCAGAGAGGTGTGGAAAATTCTGGTATAGCTAATTAAAGCAAGAGTAGATTCAAAGAGGGAGAGGTTTGATGTGAGCTTCACAAGGGAAGGAGGAAGTAGAAATTACTTTTTGCACTCAAGCATACAGGGAAGGAGAGGCATAAAAGACAGCAGCGGGGGCACTGATGCAGAAGTTACATTATGGATTCAGGTCCAATGCAAAACTGACCAAGTAAAGACTTATATATAGTAAAGCCCCCTCTCTTGTGGGGGAGTTGGGAGACTGCAAGCTTTTTAGTAACCATGGATTAATGTCAGTCAGGAAAACTGAGACTGAGGATGAGGGAGATGGGTAGAAAGAAAGACCTGTTATTTAAAATGTCTGCATTATTGTTGATTCTCTGACTCAATTTCTCAAAATCTAACTGGGATAAGAATAAAGCCTAAACATAAAAGAGTAGAGAAAGGTGCAAGGAGAATCAGGTGAGCACCCTAAAAATGTCTTAGTACAGGACTTATCAGGGTTCCTGGCTCTATAGAGATTCATGTTCAACCTCAATTAGCCATTCTGCTTTCCCCAAATTCCAGAACTATCTCCTTCTTAAGACAACTTGACTAGAAAATGAAAGCTCTTTAAACCTTTGCTTCCTTCCTTCACTTTTTCAATTGTCTGCTCTATATATCTTCAATCTAGACTTTCTGAGACAAAAATTATCGTCCCTCATCAGATAAACTACTCAGTGTCCTGTCTGTGCTTCTGTAATCAGATTGCATTATGATAATTTTTACTCACGGATATGTGGCTAAATATTCACACACCATTTTGGAGTGCAGTATATGCTGAGTGCTTAGGTGCTTACCCTTTTTATCCACAAGACCACCATTATCTTGAAGGTCCTGGTGACAATTTATCTCTCTAGCATAGTGGCAGGGCTGGATATGAATCCCAGTACCACCACTAACTAGATGTGTGAATGTGGGTAAGTGATTTAACATATTGATGCCTCTGTTTCTTTACGTATAGGGAATAATAATATTGACTTGCTCCAGAGTTTTTTGTGAGATTAAATATTTAGAAGAGCAGCTGATAGTTAGTAATGACCAGTAAATGTTCGCTATTGTTGTTGGTGGAGGTGTTATTAAAAGTGTAAACTCTGAAAGAGTATTTCCTGGGCTCAATTCCCAGCCCCATCATTTCTTAGCTGAGTTATTTTAAGCAAATTACTTGACCTCTCTGCATCTCAGTTGCCTCAATTGCAGAGATGGGGATGATCAAACTTACTTCAATGGGTTTAGGAAAGACTAGGAAGATTAATATATTTAAAGCCCTTAGAACAACATTGGCCACGTATAAAGTGCTCAGCTTCCTATTATGAATCAAAACTATTTTTGCTTAAATCTTTTTACTCTCTGAGTTATGAATTTAGGTTAGTTCTACATCCAAGATAAATCTCAATTAATTCTTCTTTTTTCTTTTCCCATTTCCTCCTGTCTCCCTCTCTTCTTTCCTTCTACTCTTTTCTTCACTTTTCTCTCTCTCTTCTTCTCAGTTTTTATTTTTGTAATTTGAAATCAATGTGCAAGCCAGAGCTTCTTTAGGAAAGACCATTCCTGAGAGAACAACAGGTAATCACTTTAAGAAAAAAAAAAAAACTATTTTAAAAGAAGTACAGTCCTGTGATACTTTTCTGAAAAAAGGAACATCTGCAGCTATTTGTCCTGGCATAACTTTGCTCAATCAAAATTGAATCAGAACGTTGCTAGGGGAAGTGAAACAGCATGTCTGCCCTCTCCCCTCCATGAACTGCTAAGATTGTGTCTTTTTGCAGAAGTAGGTATGTTGGGTTATCTAGTCAAGTTCTCAAGTAAACTCCTAGTAGTTACGTAGGCGATATATTGAGAATTAATAACATTAGTTCAATCATTTGATGAATGTGAAAGGCAGAGAGAAATATATTTAGTGTTTAAGAATAGCATTCTATTTTATTTTATTTATTTATTTATTTTGTTTTTGAGACAAAGTCTTGCTCTTGTTGCCCAGGCTGGAGTGCAATTTCATGATCTCGGCTCACTGCAGTCTCCATCTCCCAACTTCAATTGATTCTCCTGCCTCAGCCTCCCAAGTAGCTGGGATTACAGGCATGCACCACCACGCCTGGCTAATTTTGTATTTTTAGTAGATATAGGGTTTTACCATGTTGGTCAGGCTGGTCTCGGATTCCTGACCTCATGTGATCCACCCACCTTAGTCTCCCAAAGTGCTGGGATTCCAGGCGTGAGCAATCGTGCCCAGCCAAGAATAGAATTCCAAAGCTACAACTGAGAGTCTCACAGAGGAGAGAAAAGATCAAGGCTGGCAAATACCAGAAGCGAGAATAGAGGTCTAAAGAGGAAAGTGTTTTCTAATAAATTCATCCAAAGACAGAATGAAGACTATCTTGGATTTGAGGGAAGTGTTCAGACATAGGCTAGCTCATTACTAGAGAAGGATGACACATAAAACTGCATAGCACTGAAGTTTAGGTTCAGATGACCTGAGATCCTCACAAGTCTAAGACTCTTGGTGGTCTAATATGCATTTGAGAAAATAAATCATTCAGAATAAAACTTAAAACTCAAATAGCCACATAATTTGAAGCAATTCTGAATTGTGGATGCTTTATTTCCCTTCAGCAATCTAAGACATTTCTTTAATTTTTTTCTACTTTCCTTTACACATATGGCCCAGCCTGTATATGCAAAAGTAATTTACAATTCTAGCCTTCCTAATTTGAAATTCTACAAGTCCAAGAGAGTAACCAGATTATGAAAACACTTGATGAATCGCGCAAACCAGCAGTTAAATACTATAGTTTAAAAACTTTAGTCAAAAATATTTCTTTTCCTTCAGGAAGAAATATGAATGTTAAACATGTGGTGCCGTGTGGAAGCAAAGCTCCATAATTAATCTATAGAGCCATCACCACTGTCAAAAGCAGAAAGGCCCCAGAGGAAATAATTTTTGTATAGAATGATGGCAGCATTAGTGACAGCAGTAATGATAAGACACTGAAAAGTATGTGAAAATTTCCTTTACAATCCTGTGTGAGGTTTAATTATAAAAACTAGTATCTTGGACACTTAACTATTTTTTTTCAGAGGGAATCAGAGCTATTTCCATGAATTAATGTCTTAATCCCCACAACAATGAGGTCGTGGTCATCTAGTTGGTAAGTTGGAGGAAGAGGTTATGGATGGAGGCTCTCTAATTGCAGTACACGTGTGTATCAACCCAGACTACTACCTCCTAGAGCCTAACTTGAGGTATGATTGAAAGAACATCCTCTTCTGGGGAACAGCCACAATACCTACCATATGTTCCTGGAATAATTACTTTCTTTCTGCATAAATGTGAGTTGCCCTGGTAAGACAATGCTTGAAATGCTAAGTTCAATTCTAAGTCCCATCATGAAGGATATGGACCAACTGGAGTACATTCTATACATTTTATCAGTGAAGATTAAAGAAAACATACAATTTCTCCAAAATGTCTTAGGTACTAACCACATAAATACTAGAGAAAAATGAATTTTGTGTATACGTGTTTGTGTGTAAAGAGTTCTGCAAAAATCAATTAAAATGTTTAGGTTAATGTATTATTTTTATGGAAGAAATTTCCACGTATAGTCACTTTATCATTATTCTGCTTCATAAGAACACAGAACCATTGGAGAATTTCCTTCTCTTCCTCTAATCCTTGACAGTATTACACATCAAACTTCTTCAGATTTGGTCAGTGTATTTCCTCCTGTGATTATACATGGTTTCTATGGACTTCCTTTCAGTCTCTAGTATGAGGGGAAATGATAAAACCCATAAAAATAACCACTACGCAGTTTTAAAAGCACTCTCACATTACATTATTGGTTGGAGGTTTTTGTTTTTTAGTCTTAAAGTTATGAAAACACATACACCCATCTACCTTACTATCTGTTTTATTCTACCCTTGCTCTCATCTTGACCTAAGCCAACAAACTTGAAACAAATAAATCTGGTTTGGAAAAGAGAATGTAATGGGTACCATATATGTTCCTAGCTTATCCTATATTTTCCCGAAAACAATCAACATAGATAGCCCGAGGCAGACCATTTCATCGTACATGCAACTTCTGAAAGTAGACAATTATTACCAGAGAACTTATGCCTTACTCATTAAGAGAGAAAGTGTGACAGAAATCACATTGGCACTAGGAGAAATTGACTACTCGGCAAAAATATCTCCTGCCTTATTATGGTCTTCTCTTCTTGTTCTTCCAGTAGAATGACTCCTGCCTGCTACATTTCCCCAGATACCCAGGACCTTCATGCTGTCACTCTCCATGACCTGACCAACATCTATTTTGAGAAATTATTTTATATACTCATTCAAACAGGTGTGTAAAGAATCAACACAGGTTTTAAGAAGCATCAAAGCTTTGTACTCAAATGAAACAGTTCAGAGGAGCATAAACATTAACTTAATAATGCTACTTGTGGGAAGCATATCTTATAAATCCATAGCTAGTGTCTTTGAGAATATAAGCAAAATAAAGGAGATGGTGAGGATTTAGAAATTCTTTTGGGTGATGATGAAAATGGGAATATTTTTGAAGTAGTGTCTGCCACTCAGATGTTTTGAACTGCTATAGAGGATAGATTATGTGAAGTGAAAACAGGAGATGGACCCAAATTACAGACACGTTTTAGTATAGACCTGCATGACACTGATATGTAGGAAAAAAATAAACAGGGCTATAGACCTGCCCAATGGAGGCTTGCTCAGCATCACTGAGTGGTCAGCAACCATAAGAAATTCAGTATCTTTTATCATCACTGCCCTAGGCACATGGACGTAGGCTCTGTCACAGAGCTATTCTGTAAAGGGACACCACACCGAGCTGGGACACCACATAGAGAACACATTCCTGAAATAGACAAGTCCCCACAACTCATATACCACTGAAATAGTCACACCATGCACTAAGGATATCCTATTTACTGTTGTTTAGTGGTTATCATGGGATGGTAGATAAGGGCGTAGACTTGGAGTCACATACATCTGGCTTCAAATCAGACTCTGCCACTCTCTAGCTGCATCACACAGTCTTGTAGAGTCACTTATCTGAGCGCTATTTCTTCAACTATAAAATAAAAAAGAAAAGATACAGTCCTTGAGGGGTTATTATGGGAGTACAATTAGATAACGTATGTACATCCCCTGGGATGTAATCCTTAGTAAGAGATTAAAAATTACAGTGATAATAATGATATTTATGATTTAAAAAGATACTACCAAAGTAGGTATGCTTAACTCAAAGGTAAAGAAATTTTAGATCTCTCAGTCTAAGGCCAATATTCATAGTGGTTTACAGCAACAAGCTTGAAGATCAAATATTTTGGAAAAATTACTCAAATATTTTACAACAAAGTTTCCTATCTAAAAAGCGATCAATAACCATGCCTGTCTCAAACTTTTATTGTGCAGTTTAAATAAACACATGTAACCATGTAGAATGGTGCCTGGCACAGAGGAAGCAGTACATAAATGTTAGCTATTATTCTTACTGCTCTTCTTGCCCACAGTGGAGGTGAGAGCATGGCAGAAATATGAAGACTCATCCTGGTAAAAAAATGTCACAGTTCTCTAAAAAAATGGTGAGAAGTGAGTGCTGGAAGGGAAGGCTTCATTACTTTCATGCTTGAAATACTCTTTCTTTGGTCACTCACTGGTTCACTTGCCCAGTTAGCAATACAGGAGCCCAGCTGAGATCCCAGCAGTCACACTCCAAAAGTTGCTTCATTAGGACCTAGCCAGTTTGGCAACACTTAATCACAACTGGATCTTTTCTACTGAGAATCTATAACTAATGTCTAATAATAAAACCATCTGTTACTTTTTATAATACGGTTGTAAACAACATCAAGAGTTTGGCAATTAAAATTCTCTGTTAGGTAGTCGTTCACATTTACATGGAAATCATAAAGACACAACAAAATCAATGCCTAAAAGAAGCTATGACATTGATATTTCCAGGCTCAGAACATCATTACCATCACCATTACTACCACCACCACCACCACAACCACCTTAACTTCTTCCTCTTTTTTTCTTCTCCTCCTTCATCAGCTACCATTTATTGATAATCTATGATGTATCAGGAATTTTACAAATAATATTTCATGAAATTTTATTCTCAGCATATTCATTATAACTTCAGAAAATAATTACCATTATATCCAGTTTACCTATTAAAAAATAACTGAGACCCAGCAAGATTAAGTGCCTGACTCCACATCATAAGATGGTAAAAGGTAGAACCTAGGTTTAGGCTCTGACTTTATGACTCTAAAGCTAGTGCTCTTTTTATATCGTGCTATACAAATATTATGATAAAATCCATGATGCTATAGTGGAGCTGACATGAATTCGAAATCTCATGGTTGCTTTCTTTACATCAGTACTATCGTGTGTGTGTGTGTGTGTGTGTGTGTGTGTGTGTTTAAAAGCAGACATACTTGGGCCATTTTCACTTCTGAATTTAGAAACTACATTATACACAGCAATACAGTCATCCTACATTTACCATATAGAGCAAGACCCATTTTGACACACAATAGTAAATTATTGAGTGAGGCACTCAACAATTAAACACAATGAAATGTTTATAATAATGTATCACAGAGGGCCAATTCCAACAGTGATCTTCAGGTAAAACTGTTCAACCTTTTGCTCTAAGACCATTCCATTGTGTGTTGTAATTAATAATTCCACACATGGATATTGATGACAGAATTCAAATAAGAAATCAGCAGCACCTCAGAAACTTCTGTCCCCATCAGGTGAGCAGAGGGGCTGGCTCGATGAGCTCCATCAGCTAGGATAATTATTATGAATAAGGAGGTGTGTCACTTATCTGTGAAGGACAGGGGTACCTGTACCAAAAATTACACACAAGTGGCACACAACTCAGTTCACTGGAACATCTGAAATGCTCAGAGTAAATGCAAATGGCAAAATAAAACATGGCTGATGCATTCTCTGCAGAAAAAAAAAACTGATTTTGGAAAGCAGGATAAGGAATTGAATAATTGCTAAATATGAAAAGTCAAAGAGTGGCCAAACTCAGCCAGAGGCCAAGAGGAGTCACTGCCAATTTTCTAGGAGAAGTCACTGTTCTAATACTTACTTGAGAGTTCTCAAGTATTCTTTTCCCTCTTTTCACTATTTTTTCTCCCATTTTGCCAACTAAATTCTACTAAACACTGCACTGCTAAGAACTCACTTTCTACAACTTTAAAATGCTGACATCAGAGTAGAATTGGATGACGCAACAGGAAAGAAGCCATGTATTTTAATATCCTACACTCTAGAGCACACCAAAAACCATGCCAATTCATACCTTTGAGTCGATCTTTTAAGGGGAAAAGGAACAAAAGAGAAGCGCTATGTGTGTACAGAGAGGTGTGCTTCAAACAATCAGAGATGCGTATCTTAAGATTCCCCTCCAAATGTATTTAATGTAAATTAAATAAGGAAAAACACATTAAAGAAGATTGTTCTTTAATGGAAATTTATCATGGATTTTGCTGTAAAGAGAATAATATTCTTTTAGTTTTTTCTTATTAAAATCAAGACTTAAATAGGCCCACTTACCTTAAAGATATAACTAAACATCACATAGAGATACAAATGTAAACATTTAAATATTTCTTAATCCTAGGTTACTTATTGGTTATTTAGAAATTCTGGATAAAGACTCACAAGTCAAGCGGGGGTGATGGAAGATATTGAAATGTCTCCCCGTGGCATATTCAGTGAAGAAAGTCACTACATGTTGACAGATTCCAGTAACCATTGCTGTGCTGTAAAAATTGGTTTCACTTACCTAGAAAAGGAAAACAAGAATAGGAAAAATTAATAGAATTCTTTGAATTTCAAAAGTTGTGTTTGTTCCTTGCGTCCCTTTTCCTCCCTTTCACACTCTCTTCACTGTTCAGGAAATAGCCTGGTCAGTATCTCAGTATTGGGGACAAAGATCACACATATGTAGTGGAAAAGACGAGTGCCCTACCCTTGGCAATGGAGAATAGCAAGGTCCACCCCTCCTCATACCTTGCTCTGCAGGTGTCTCAGGTGGGAGAAGCAAGACAAAGTCTTAACTTTTCTTCTGAAGGTAAAGGTAGGGGTTAGAGCTGTTTGGGTCAGAGTCATGCCTACTCCTTGGGAAAGTCCTCCCAATCTTGCTTTTCCTACCTCAGCATCTTTGTATATGATCCCGTGATCCCTTTTCCCTCAACAACCCCCACCCCACCCACCCTGCCATTCAGTCCTATTGTTAGCATTCTGTTTGGAAGTAACCTTCTTAAAAAAGAGCTTACACACTTTTGAAGCCCATGTCAGGGGCTTCCTCTGTGTGCCTAGCTCTCTGTATTTATTGCTAAAGCAGTAGTTATGACACTGCCCTCTAGTTAAGTGCTCACTTGCCCTCCATCCCTGCTTAGAATATGAGCTCCCCGGGGGGCAGGCTGTATTTTACTTTATTTTCTTTCCACAGCTTCCAGAGTATAATATGGGACATAGCAAATTTCAACAAAGATTGTTTAATGAACAAATGAACTTATTAGTAAGTAAAGGGAGTCCAGGTCAGAGCAAAAGGAAAGATAGAGGAAGCTGACTGCATAGGATGAATCTAGGATCTAGGCTTTAAGAAAGAAACCTAAAGATGTTATCCTGTTTCCTACTTGTTCATCTTCTCAGTTTAGGAAAACAATTACAAATCAACATAGAGGATCTGGAGTACAACATTAAGTTTTTCAGGGACAAAACATGGTACTCGGTGCTAGGTCCACTTGAAGATCCAGGGGAAGGAAAAAACTTCTGCATGGCTTCACTCAAAAATGTCCAGGTCATGTGTCTGTCAATTACTAATTATGTGATTTGCATAAATTGCTCATTATCTAAGCCCTGTTTATTAGATGCAACTAGAAATTATCATCTTTGGCCTGTCTACATCACTGTGCTTTAACTTTGTATTTAGAAATAACTATAGTCGCACAGGAAATTATAAAATTAGGACATAGAGACCCGTGAATCCTTTCCCCAACTTTCCCCAATGATAGTATACATAATGGTAGTACAGTGTCAAAACCAGAAAACATTAGAATTTGTTGAGAGAACCAAACGAGGTGATGGAAATAAATATGGAATTCATCGTATTTTTATTAGGTTAATTATTCTTTATTTGATAATTCATTATTAAAAGCTTACTATATGCTAGGTATTGTGCCGGACACTTGGGTTATATTTGTGATCAAAATAAGCCTGTCCCTGGCCTTCATGAAGCTTATGCATAGTAGTAAAAAATAGAAAGATGAAACAATTACAATGTTGGTCAGTAAGTTCAATTCGTACATGGGTAAAAACAGAATACCTAACTGAATCTAGAAGGGAGGATGATCTAGTGAGATAGGGCTTCCAAAGATGAATTTTTAAGTCTAGACTCAAATCTGAATGATAAGTTGGAATTGTCCACGTAGAGAACTAAGAAAATATATTCAGGTAGAAGGAAGCACACACTTGAAGTCAAAGAGAAGGAAAAAAATAATCCAGCCTATTTTAGTTTGAACAATAACAACGTATCATATTTGTTTTGCAAAAATGGTTGAGTAGTGGCAGTTTAATATGATTCAATCTAATAATTCTTCATGGCTATGTAAGGGTTGTCATGAAGAAGTAAGCTTAAAAAAAATGAGAAAGACTTGGATAAAATAGAGTCTAGCTGGCCAGGTTAAGGAGTTTATAATTTATTCTAAGGGCAAAGGGGGCCAGGGATGAGTTTTAAACAGGGGGGTATTATAATCAAATTGGCTTTTTGGAAGATTATTCTGGCTGCCTGTAGAGAAATGAATATGATGGGCAAATGTGGAGGTGGAGGAGGGGAGACCAACTGGAAATTGTAGCATTAAGCCAGAAAGATATTACAGCAAGTTAGCTGAGACTGTGGACTAAGGGATAGATGGAAGTAGGCAGATTGCTTCAGGGATAAAACTTACTTAATTTGGAGACAGGCTGTATGTATATATAAAAAGAAACACAATAATAAAGGAGATACCAAGGTTTCTAGCTTAAGCAATACACACATGTACACACATAAATGTACATAGTGGTATAAATCATGAAATGAAACTACAAGCAGAGGAAAAGCTATAGGTGAGTTATGATAGTGAAAACATTTTGTAAACTGTAAAGTGCTATGAAAATGTAAGTTAGAGGTATTTTCCTACATGTGGAGTAGGTGTAATGCATGCATATAAAATTCTCAGAAGGATTAGAAAAATAAGTGGCCTGCTTTTTGAGAGCAATGTTAGTGCATGGCTTCTACACAGTGTATCATAATTGGTTTGTGGTGCCATTTAGTAATGCCAAGACAATTCGTTAAGAGAATCAAGAACAAGCAGGTGTTTCCATTAGAGCTTGCTCTAATAAACACATGCACACACACGTTCACACATAATATCTGACCGAGGGCAGAGTTAAACTTCCTGAGGCACCCAAAGAACCCATTCCAGAAAACCATAATAGACACAGCACTTTTAACTCAAGAATGGAAACTAATCCTAAATGGAAAAGAAAACTCACTGGGGAGGTAGGTAATTAAATAGACCATGATGCTTATTATTTCTCACCACAGTCATTTAAATAAATATCAATCAACAGACCCTATACTCTGCTATTGTTTCATGACATAAATGAAATAACTTAAGTCATTAGTCTCAAGGTGCCAAAGATCAATTAGATTATTGCTTTTCATTAAGATGGTTTGTTATTGTGTACTATTGAAGGGCACTCAGTTGATTACAAGTTACTTGAGACTTGGTGACACGTCTTGCTTATCTTTGAGTTCCCCAGAGAGTATAGCATGAGGCCTTGCACTTAACAGGCACTCAATAATATTGTTGAAGTTTAGAAACTTTATTAAAAATGAAACGCGCTGAGTTGTACTCAATGTGGTTTATTTTCACTCTAACAGTATTGGTGATGATTACTTTTAAAAGTGCTATTGTTGGTAAGGTACTTTGTCAACTTTTCGGGAAATGTCATTTACTTTAAGTTGGCAAAATGTAATTTATCAAAGGGAGGTAAGGGGAGAAAGGAAAAGCTTTGAGTAAATTCCAAGAAATGCATTTCTTGGAAGTAAGAGGCTTATTAGTGTTACTAATTCATAAAACATGCCTAACACAAAATCTTGACAACATTCATACAATTGAGTTGTTTTTGGAAGTTTCTTTTAAGAATCTATTGCCAATTCCCTCTTTTAACTCATAGCAAACTGCTAATAAGACTTTTTTAGGGGGGAATGTGTAGAGGAATTCATAGCCATCAATAACACATTATTATTATTATTATTAATTTTTTTTAGACACGGTCTCAAAAAACTGATGCCTAGGCTGGAGTGCAGTGGTGCAATCACAGCTCACTGCAGTGTCAACTTCCTGGGCTCAGGTGATTTTCCCATCTCAGCCTCCTAAGTAGCAGGGACTACAGGCACTCACCACCATACCAGGCTAATTTTTTGTACTTTTTGTAGAAATGGTGTTTTGCCATGTTACCTGAGCTGGTCTTGAACTCCTGGGCTCAAGCGATCCACCCACCTCAGCCTCCTAATGTGTTGAGATTACAGGCATGAGCCACCGCACCTGGCCTATTATTATTAATTTTAATTAATTTTTATTTGTGGAGAACCACTTTACTCCTCACTTGATGTGACAGGTGGTGCCCATGCTGCCTCCACCTTAGCCCAGGATGATTTTAAAGAACCATGAGATGAAAGCCTTGCCCTCTCTCTGGCTTGTGGCATTTCAAATGATTTCATGTTAGTAGAGATTGAGAAGTTGACATGACTGTTAGTCTTGTTCCAAGCTCCACCTCACAGCTCACTGGTTGGGTGGCATTACCAGCCTGAGGGCTGAAGAAGCAAGGCAGAGCAGCTTCTGCATCATCTCTGCAGCTTATGAAGATGTTTTGCCAACACAGTGGTACTGAAAAGACAACAGCAGCAGACACACCCAGACAGTTGGTGCTTGGTCTGGATTTCATATTGCTTTGTAAAATGTGTTTTATATATTGGTGACATCCTACAATTCCCCTGATCTTTGAGAAAATTAGTCTGTTATCATGAATTGATGTAGTTAGAAATTCAGCACTAAAATTCCTTGTGCTTTTTAGGGGAAAACACCTGTGGTGCTCACCAATATTTATCCCATCAGGAAGTTAGGAGGCCCTGACCCGGAAAAGACCTTTCGAATGTAGATTGGAGACTGCTTCTTAGCTAGGGTTATTAAAAGTCCACACACATATTTATTAAAATCCACATACTCATTAAAATAAATAAATAAAATTTAAAAGTCCACATACTCTCTGGATAAAGTCTTGGAAACACACAATTGGACTAGGGGAGATGGTCTCCGATAATGGTTAATCTCTCCTATATCTCCTGAGCATGGACCTGTTCCCACTACTTAACTTTGTATAAAGGTTGTTATGGTGATAGAAAGGGAAGAACTGTGAGAGATTGCCAAGATGTTGCCATGTGAAAGAAGGCCAAACTTAGAGAAACTTTTGCAAAAATCGCTTGAAGCTGGGATTGATCATTACTGTGCTGCTTACTCCCAAGATGTTGACAGGCATTAAAAGGACAGCACTCCTCCAATTTTATAAGCAAGTCTTGCAATTTTGTGAGACAGTTGTCTCATTTTATTAATCTGGTGGCTTGAGGGAGGCTACAGCTCTTAGGAATGGGGGAAGTGTCCAGTTCTAGGAACAACTGATGCCTACCTGCATTATTCAAAATGGCCCTATATAGGAGCTTCCATGATTCAGTAAACTAAAACGATACACTCTTGTCTTATGCATTTAATGGGGCACCTTTAATATTTTTCACTTGGAGTAACCAAATAAGAGAGTAAGATTTCAAGGTTGAAGGGTGAAGCTATGGGATGGTGGGAAGACAGTCATAGTACAATATTCTACGTTATTTGACAAGGTTCTCCGGTATAAAGAGAAAAGAATCTTTTGCTTAAATTTAGTCTACTGCCTATACTACGTGGTCTCGTAACCTCAAGGGAGAAGCCAGTTTTACTAGGGAAGAGAAGGAAATGGGAAGTATCCTCACTCAGTTTTTAGTATTTTCAACTATGCAGCATCCCACCTGAAATCTCATTGAGTGTTAGCACTAATTGGTTGTAGCATCAGAAAAGTCGGCTGATTCAAGGAAGTGGCATTTGGAGGTCATGTGAATGATTATGTGCTGCTGATTAGTCATCTGAAGAGGTTAAGTGAGAAATATTACCCTTTCTCTTGTTTAGAATAGTACATTACAGATTCTGTCTGAGCAAAGAGGAGCAGCAAGCTGGTAAACCTGAAATACTCATCCAAAGAAACCAACGTCGTCAACAATTCTGTGAAAAATGTGGTTATGGTAGGGCTTCCAACTTATTTCTGGAACTATTAATATATCTATTCATGATGAGAAATCATTTTTGTTAAAACTGAGTACAATCAAGCAACACCACATATATCTCTGGAATGAATGTATACAGCTCAGAAATATTCACTAGGATAATGTTTTACCTAAGTGAAATAAACTTGCCAGCACACACACACACACACACACACACACACACACACACCCCTGGCCCTCACAGTGAGAAGAGGCTTTGGTTTCTTGCTCAAACTTTTGCGAAGAATGGAAGTTCTGTGGAGTAGTACAAACTCAAGCAAAAGAAGTCCTAAAGATGGCTCCCTTCCATCAACTTGCTCCAGCTTTAGGCTTCTAAAAGGGTCCAAAGAACAGCTCCAATAGGAACAATTCATTATTCTAAACTTGTTTCCTTTCAGTAAAAATGGGAATGGAGATTATGCAACATGCTTGTTTATTGACATCTTCAGACCATACTGACATCTGCTTATACCATATTGAGTGCTATCCAGTAAAATTCCCCTATATTTCCTGTTCCACTTCCTAGGTTCATCCAATCTGCCTTCTGGAAATAGCGATCAGCAAAAGTTGTATTTCATAATTGTATTATTGGCTGAATTATTAATTGAAATGAAAACAACATTTTAATGGGCTTAAAAGTCGTTTGGAAATGAGATAAAATGTTCTAAGCAGTGCCTGCCTAGACGCAGACCTAAAGGAAAGCACTCTGACAGTTTGATTATTATGCACATTAGCACAATCGAGTTGGCTCCCAGTTCCTAGAATAACATTCTCCTCTATGCATAAATGTCTCTCCTCATTGTTTGCTTTTCATTGCATTTATGTGTGATGCCTCAAGGATAATTCTTTCCTTCTGAGTAATCTCACATATTATGTTACTGCAATACTATCTCTATCGTTGCTGTCATAAATGACTTGCTTCTTTTGCACCAGTTGAGGAGAGAAACCCAAAATCACAACTCAACCCTCCAAACTGGATCTTTATAGAGACCAACCAGATCTATATGACCTAATGCCTGTTACCTCTCTGACCTCATTTCCTACTACCTCCTCCCCATTTTGCCCATTCTAGTCCAGTCACACTGGCATCCTTCCTCTATGCCAAACTCCTTGACCACACACCAATACAGGACTTTTGCATTAGCTATTACCTCTGATTAGACAAGTCTTCTCTACTCCCTTTCCTCTTTCAAGTCTCTGCTGAAATGTCAACTTCTCAAAGAGGCTTATCCTGACACTATTAAATACTGAAACATGACCCCTGTGACTCATTTGAACTCCTGTTCCCTTAAATGGCTCTACTTTTACTTTTATCCCTAGCACTTTTCAGTTACTAACCTAGCAGATAATTTACCTTTGTATTTTGTTATTTCTGCCTCCTGTCTAGAATTTACACACACACACACACACACACACACACACACACACACACAGTATACATATATAAGTATATAAAGTACATGTATATATAAATGATATATAAAAGGTACATAATACATATGTATGGCATACATATATGGTATATATTTGTATACATATGTGTGTGTATGTACATGTGTGTCCATAAACATTTGCTAAAGGGTTAATGAAACAGTGGGCTCCTTGGTGCATCCGTTGATTCGCTTCTTTTCAAAACTTGTATCTCTTCCAAGGAATAGATCATTACTTGCCCTTTCCCTCTTTTAGAATTTGTTTATCACTGCTGGCACCAAACACTTGTCTTATTTTGCTGATCCTGATTTTTCTCCTTTCTTATGGTGTGGTTAGCCCTGCTTTCTTTCTTTATTATTAATCAAGTCTTCAAATCTCACTGTC
Source organism: Homo sapiens (assembly GCF_000001405.40). Classification (NCBI taxonomy): domain Eukaryota; kingdom Metazoa; phylum Chordata; class Mammalia; order Primates; family Hominidae; genus Homo; species Homo sapiens. Next base: position 117,736,608 of record NC_000003.12, read on the forward strand.
AGTAACTATAGCAAGAAGGATATATCACTGGCAGAAAACAAGATTAAGTCTTGAATGGGTAGAATTGAAGGAAATCCAGGTACTATCTTTTCTGATCTCATTACCCATCAACGAATCAATGGAAATCTCTTCGCACAGACCTAGAATTCTAACTCACAAGTCACCCAAGCTGGGAAGATCTTCAGATTTATTCTCTCTTTTGCATGCAGGCCATGTAATTTAGTAATAGCTACTCAACTACCATTGACCTGCTAATTAATCCATGGATTTTTGTTGTTGTTGTTGTGCCTTTAATCATTTCCCCTGATAACAGAGTCAGTTTCGAAATACTCATTTTCTGTTCAGACTCACCAACTAAATGCTACTAGAGTTCCGTAATAATAAAACAACGAAATATATTGACTCCCTGCCAACTTGTTCTCTTTCTCTTCCTTTCCTATGTGTCAGCTGGTGTTACTATGCAGATGGAATACTGAGAGGGGAAAGGAACCACTAGTAAATGAGTAGTTTGCATCACAGGTGAGGGTGAGAAATGATTCATTATTTGGGTCAAGAAACAAGTCAGTCCTGTTCTCTCAGAATTGAAGGTTTAACTGTCCTCCCAATTTTCCATCATTAATTTTGAATTAACCTGACAATAACTGGTTGAGACCTTATGCTTAGAGGCCCCTTTCCTGAGAACATGTGGTTGATTCTCCTTTTCCATTGCCAAGTAACAAGTGATACACATTTTATGATGGGGCCATATAGTACCTACTAAAAATGTTGGTAACATAGTTACCCTACATAGAGTCCATCCTTTGATTTAAAAGATGTCCAATTTCATATATTGCTGAATAGTAACTGAAGTGCTGGCTTCTGTTTCCTGCTGTAAACAGTGTATCTACAGTGTGCCTTTGAAAGTGTCAGTTCACCTTTCTGAACCTCAGTAGGCAGAATGGAAAGAACTGCCCATTTATCTGCCTTCCAGGATGTTGACGAGTTTATGTTTTGTCACGTGCAAGGGGAAATTCACACCAACTGTTATGATTTCCTCTGAAATCACATAGAACTTAATTTATTTCTTATTCAATGACCGAGAGAAAAGAAACTGGGAGGTTAAATGATATAGTTACTCGACCTCTAGTTACTGCAATCAAAATGAGTAGCTCTAACTTTATCAAGCCAGGATTATACATCATTAGCAAACAGACTAGAGAAAATTGTGCTTACTGTTTAGTTTTCCTTCATATGAATTACTTTTGTACCAATTCAGGTTTCCCATCAACATAGTGAGGGCATCAGAAAGCGTAGCCAAGAGTTTGAATCTTGCTTGCATTGAAGCACTACAAGGAAGGAAAGGTCTACTATTTGGCTTTCACCACGAGAACAGAAGGGTCTTTATTAAGATAAAGTTGAGAGGGATTCAATACTATGACCACAACCAGTGTGACTGATTTTCTTACGGGCAAAACATTCAATGAGTCCCCTCCTTTCCAAGTCAGTCACTTTATGAAGTACATATATTTATTTCAAATAATACATTCCATGGTCAAATACATTTTTAGGACACCCTGCTAAGAATTGCCTTTTTGTCCATTTATAGTGTTTTTGACTTTGATACTGATCACTTCCAAATGTTTACTTTATTCTCTAAAACAAAGTTTTACCATCCCTGAACATATTTAAAATAAACATGGCTAGAGAAGATTCTGAAAAGAGAGTTCTAGAAATATTTTGAATATGATAGCACAGTTGGAATACGAGCATATTGACTTAGGTAAGCTAATGTTTTTCATATACATTTTTTTTTTCCACGAGGCAGTGAATTGTAAGGTTGAATAACAATGGATTTGGAGCCAGACTCTTGGTTTAAATCCTTGTGTAGGAATTTACTAGCCATGCTGAAAAGTTATTTAACCCCTCTGGGGTTCAAAATTCTTATGTTAAACTGTAATAAGTATAAAATTCAACTTATAAGGTTATTGGAAAACAGAAAATAATTTTATCTATGTAAAATAATTGCATAGAGTATGGCATGAGGGTAAAACAAAACAACAAGAGTGTGATCTATTTTTGGTACTGTTATTACTAAAGTTATTATTTAAAAGACACAGAAAATGGCTTGCAAAGGGTCAATCCTCAAAAGAGGTGAAGGGATCTATAACAAGGAGCTATTTCTTATGTCTCTAAAAAAATTTTTACTCTTCGCCACAGCCAATCTGCCTGTACTTAAACAGCCAAGAACCTCAAGAAAATCACCCGATGGAGACTCAGATGATAATACTGTGCAAGGGATTTAGTGGGGGAAAAAAACCTGTCTCTTCAGAAATAGCTATGACACTAAACACTGCTTCAGAGATACTTGATCTTTATTCTCCCTAGAAGCTTAAGATAAGTGACAGACAGGGCTCTGAACCTGCAGCTGGGCTTTAACATTGTCAGGATATGGTGATTTTGTGTTAATATGAGTATCTTTCAACAACTCAAGTGGAATAAATTTTTATTTATCCTACCTTCTGACTGCCAGTAGTTGGTGAACACAGAAAGAAGACCCTATGCAAAAATATCCCACTTCATGTTCTAGAGAACAAGCCCAAGGAAAGCAAATATATTATCAGATCATTATTACCAGACCTCACGCTAGTAAAACAGTGGCTATCATTTATTTTTTCAACTAAATATATGCCAGTCATCATCTATGATCTCCCTAATGTCATAATAATGGAAGGATTGTAGTAATTTAGAAAGGTGTGCAGGACAGAGCATGTCTTACACTGCTTTATATAAATGCACTATCCTTATATTTCTCATTTTGACATTGACTTGTGAAAAAGATTATCACCATTGTATTTGGGAACAACTCACTTACATGCTTCTTGTATATAATCCTAGGAGTGAGGCTGGATTAGCTTTGCCTGGGTACGTCAGCTTCCTTACTTATAAAAAGGACACGATTAGCTTCTTATCACATCCAGCGGCTCCCTCATCCTCCTTAAATGTTCTGCCACATATTTTGACCATCTTCCTCCTTCGGTTTATGCATTACTGCATTAACTTTGTTCTCTCGGTTCATGAATTACTATTTCTATCTTAATCTCAGTAATTACAGTTTTTCTTGCTTCAACGTGACCTTCCTCTGGGGTAAAACCACTGACTGCTCTGCACCCATTTATTGTTCTCTATGACAGGGCTCATATTTTTTTTCTTTGATCATATTTTCTTCTTAAGCAAATTACCTCCAAATCTTTCTCTCCAGCACTGGCTTTCCACAAGTCCTCCAAAACCTACTGGATAGCTCTTCCTTGATATCTTCACCTCAATTGTATTTATATCCATAACCACTTCAACTTGTTTCCCAAGATCAGCCCATTCCAGCAAATGAAGAAGCTTTTCCAAGTCCACTGGACTTGAAATTTAAGAAAAAAAACCTGTGATGCTTTTATCCACCTCAACCCAATATTTAAGTTATCTATTTTTTATTGATATATAATAGTTGTATATATTTTGGGGGTACATATTTTATTTTGATACATGTATATGACATACAATGATCAAATTAGGGTAATTGGATATCATTTCTTTCTCTTTCTTTTTAATGTCCTATGCCTTTTGCCACTTTCTTTATTTAATTATCTTTACTTGCGTTAATTTTATAGCTGCCTCTTCTATGTATCACTTCCACATTACCTACCTTAAATAGCACTGACATACTTCAAACATTTTTATTTTATTAAGTCACTCTCCTGAACAAGCATTTATAGCATTTTATTCTCGTCTTTCAGACTCAAGTCCAAAACTCTCATTCTTGCACTTTAGGGCCTTATTGAAATCCTGCAGTCACATTTCCCAAGGGTCCCTGAGAAGACCAACTTATCTCTGGTTAGTCTGCTCATTTTCCAAGCACATTCCTGCCCAAGCACCTTCACTCTGCCCTTTCTCCAACCTGGAATGCCTCATTCTTTTTCTATAGCAAACTAATATTCATCATGAATTTTCTATACCTCTATCAATTAAGGCTGCCTTCTCTTTTTCAAGAATTTCACAATTTTTTTACTAGTATTTAGGACCTAATAACTTCACATTAGCTATTAATTTTGTAGATATTATTCCTACAGCAATTCTTCATTCAAGAATGGAGCTAAGCCTTCATCTTATTATCATCTAAAGTGTCTAACTTTGAGCTGGATTTCTAGATGACACATCCGCCAGTTTACTTACAGATTAACATGCACTAAAATATTTTTATTTAAATATTTTTATTTTTAGTGATCCTTTCCATTTAAATGCATCTCTTACAGAGGGATGAGAGATAGTAGAGCAGGCCAGATAGTAAGTGAAAACATGACTGATGTGTGTCTCTGCTCAGGTCTCAATTGTTAATGGGTTGTTCTTTATTAATATGGAAGGACATAAGGAAACTATTTCAAATCATTAGGTATCAACTTACATGCTATTAAGTTGTGAAGTAATTGTGTACAGAAACATTTTAGAACATGTATATTTAGTACCTAACATAGAGACTGTTCAGATTGGGTTCAATATATTCAAGTCTTCATTGTTAGACAAATTACATCCCAGGTTCTAAAGAGACTTGTTCACATAATCTAATATTTGTGTCAGTATATTTGGAAAGGTAATGGAGAACAGAACAGTTGGTTAACAAAATATGAGAGCCAGGAAAACATCCCAGATGTCAAAAAGATAAAGTGGTAAATTTCCTAAATTTCAGGCCAAGAAGATAGGTAATTTATAGAAAAAAATCTAGAAAAAATATTAAATAGAAGATTTTTAGACATTTGCTTATTAATCTAGTTGACAAATATTCATTAATGTGTCCCTATGTTGCTGGATACGTGGTGGTGACTATGATACAAGATGTCCACTCCAATGGACCTCACACTACAGTGGGGTAACAGACAATTTAGAGAGGAATAAACTCTATTCAGGAAAAAAGACAATAAACACCAGGTGTCAATAGGTAAGTCAATAAAAGAATATCAAACCTCAGAAATCAGGCTCTCAAGTAGTAAAAGAGAACACTGCTACTACCAGTCCCCTGTGCCAGTGATTTTGCAGATAATTTAACTTTGCATCTTATGATGTCTTGAAAATTAAGATGGTAAAATGCAAACTTGGTTCTAATTACACTTGAAAAAAGGTTCTTCTCCATTCAACATCCAATGACTTGTAAATTTGCAGGTGATACAAAGCTGAAAACAATATCTAATATAGCGTAAGATAGGAATTTGACTCAAAATAATTTATACAGGTTGGAATACTGGGCTGAAACCAACAAGATGAAATGTAAAATGAGGCTAATATAAAATTGTATAATTGAAGGAAGACAAAGTTTTTAAAAAACTGGATGGAGAAAGCAATAATTACAAAGAAAAATAACATGATACATTAGACTTCATCAAAATTAGAAAGTATATTTACCAACACATCATTAAGAAAATGAATAAGCAAGCCATAGACTGGGAGAAAATACTCACATAGCATATAACTGACAAAGGACTGGTAACAAGGATACATAAAGCACATCTATTACTCAGTAAAAACATTGAGACTTATCTGAAAATATGTAGGAAAATGTATCAGAAATTGATGCGTGAATAAAAATATGGCTAGATAAAGAGACGATAAAGTAATTTAACATTTTGCAAAATGCTAATTATAGAATTAAGGTGATGAGCATATGGTGTTCACTGTACAGTTTTTTAAAGCTTTTTAGTATGTTGGAAATTTTCATAAAAATGTTGAGAAAAAGAATCATAACTGTATGAGTTGTTCTAGGAATTCTATTTAGCTTATCTAATACAAACTTTAAGTGTAGAAAAAAGCAGTTTACAAAACTGTATAATTCTGTGTGTGTGTGTGTGTGTGTGTGTGCATGTGTGTGTGTGTGTGTGTCCTGCAGATATAATGGAATGATGTGCACAAAACTTTTGGAGTGGGCAGAGAGAGAGGGAGAGAGGAAGTAATTTTTTTTCATATTTGTACTTTCTGGTTGTGCTACAATGAACGTGCATTGTTTGTGTATTTTCAAAATAGTATTCATTTTTGTAATAAAAATGTCCTATATTTGATCTTTTTAAAAAGAGACTAAATATACAGAATCTATCTGTTTATTCATTAGAGTAATGCTAGGAACAATACACAAGTACAAAAAGAAGGAAGAATTGCTTGGCCTTGGTGACTGGCTATAGGAGACTAAATAGATGAACAAATCATAAATAAAAAAGAGAATTGCAATGTCAAGGTTGGGAAAGCAAAATATCTAGGGGACACTGCCTATGTTACCACTTACGCCTCTCTCATCACAATCCAGAATACTTTTTATTTTTTTAAATACGACAACCTCTTCCACGTTTTAAGTATTCACACATACTTTCCTCCTGCCTAATATATGTTTTCTCCTCTCTCTCACCAAATTTTAGTCATCTTTTGTGTCCAGAGTTGGTTCCTTCTGGTGGGTTCGTGGTCTCGCTAACTTCAAGAATGGAGCCACGGACCTTCGCGGTAAGTGTTACAGTTAAAGATGGCACGGACCCAAAGAGTGAGCAGCAGCAAGATTTATTGTGAAGAGTGAAAGAACAAAGCTTCCATAGCGTGGAAGGGGACCCGAGTGGGTTGCTGCTGCTGGCTAGGGTGGCCAACTTTTATTCCCTTATTTGTCACCTCCCATGTTCCGTTTTTGTCCTATCAGAGTGTCCTTTTTTCAATCCTCCCTGCAACTGGCTACTTTTAGGATCCTGCTGATTGGTCCATTTTACAGAGTGCTGGGTGCATTTTACAATCCCCTTGCTAGCCACAGAGTGCTAATTGGAGCGTTTTACAATCCTACCTACAGAGTGCTAGTTGGTGTGTTTTACAATCCTCTTGTAAGACAGAAAAGTTCTCCAAGTCTCCACTCCACCCAGGAGGTCCAGCTGGCTTCACCTCTCACTTTCAGATCTCATTTCCCCACAGAAGAATTCCATAACTTCCCAAACTAAATTACAGATCCCTGTCACACCTTCTCATAGCACATTACGTTTTAGTAGCATTTATGGTAACTAGTAACTGCACATTTATTTTATGATAATTTGTTTATCATCAATACTCTCTGCTAGAATGGGTACTTGCTGGTCATTGTACCATGAGTGAACAGAATAGTGTCTGGCACATTACAGGGATTCAATAAATACTATTGAATAAGTAAAGTTACTGCACTAGTTTCAGATCTGTTACATTTACAGCAACAGAAGAATGCCAAGATGGTAATGTTTAGCAAGACTCTGCACACCTGTACCTGCAGACAGTAAGAACAAACGGAATTAGAAGTACAGTTTTGAAATGAAATAGTAAGAAGGTATTTGGTGACATAAGAATGAATGAGTCCTGCAAAGGAAGATACAAAGAAAGAAAAGGGCAGATAACTGAGTATCAAGCCTATCAAGTTAATTTTTAAATCATTTCCCTTTACCTTCTTTTATCTTATTTTGTTTGAGTCTTTCTATCCTGTTCTTGTACTGGAAACAAGATGTCAGCTTAACTAGCTCTAAATTAACTGCAGCCTTAAGCATGTGAAGTGATGATAGTCTCCAGGACAAGCTTGCTGTTTCAAATCTTGGCAGTCTAGACTTGGCTTCTAGCTTCTCTACTTTTCTGCATGGCTGGGAAAGATAGACTGCAAATTTAGGAGCAGATTCTTCTATAGCACTGTTCCAATATCAAAGAAATGCCAGGAACTCACAGGGTTTCCTTCTTTCACAGCCAATAGATTAATTATTCTGTTTACGATTTATTCAGTAAGTATTTATTAAATGCCTACTATGGACCTAATACTAGGCTATATAATAAATGTTTCTGCTCTAATGGAGCTCATGATCGGGTAAGGCAAGAGACAACACATATATAACAAACAAACATTCAATGACCAATTTGAAGATGCCGTAAAGGGAAGCAGACGGGGATTGGACAGTGCAACAAAGAAAACAAGATATGGGGTAGTCATGTTGGCTCCTATGAGAAGATAACACTTAAGCCAAAACCTTAAAAGATAGCAGAGTCAGCCTGTGAAGAGAGATGAAAAGAATTTCAGGTAGAGGCAGCAGCAAAGATCTTTGAGGACCTATAGGCCTCCCAGTAAACCTGGAGCAGAATGAATAAGAGGAAGAGCTAGATTTGCCAGGGAGGAAGGGTCCCATCATGCAGAGCTTCATGGCTGTGGGGAGGACTTTGGATGTTAGAAGGTTTATTAAAAAAACCACTGATATTTAAGCACAGGTGTAGCATGATTCCAGGGAGCAACCTCAAATAACGCTAATACTAGACTTCCAAATTGACAGTCCCTACATTTTTTTTGCTGGTTGGTTCATTTTCATTTTGTTTTGTTTTGTTTTTATTAATTAGGCACTCTGAGTCTGCTGCAGGCTTGTGCCTCACATGTACACAAAGCCACGGTCTTAATTACAAGTTAGATAACAAATCAAACAAATCTTTAAAGGGAAAAAAAGGTTAACAAAATTTGAACCATGTAGTCATGATAAAATAAAAAATAACATGTCAGCACTTAGCAGTTGTTTTGAAGAGACATTTTAAAGAAAATATAAACTGTGACTTATGGCCACTGATGGCAGAAAGGCTACAGACTTTGTATGTGCAGGGTGGGAGAGACATAAGATATTACCTTGGTTTTGACATATTACCAACAGAAAATGCTATTAAATACCAGAATGGGTTTCCTAGAGCTTCTTCCTGAGGGTTTTAGAAATTCAATACTCATTTGTCTGAAATAATTGTGGCGTTTCCATGTCTAAAGTAAAAGAGATGGACTGGATTTTTTTCAAGATTTTCCTGAGATGAAAAAGCCGTGAGTCCCCAAGAGTCTCTCATAAATAACAAACTGTACAGTAAAGAGAGATCAGAATTTGGCAATTAGTAGGTGTTCAATAGATGTTAACTGGTTTCTTAGTCATGAGTAAAATGATGAATATAGTATTTCTGGGGAGAGAAATATTGTCTGCTAATATCTGATAATGGTGAGAATCAGATATTTAACAATTACCATCATACATAAGAAACATTCCAGGTAATACTGTGAAACATTCTCAGCAGCCGTGAGTCAGTCAAATGGAAGTTAATGTGTTTTGAAGAACACATCACAGGTGAGAGATGTGGGCATCAGAGTCAGACGAAGCAGCAGTTAGCAGGAGGCGGCCAGTATGAGAGAAGGCCAGCCACAATATGGAAGCAATTGATTGCTAAGGGTAAGTCCCGCCAAGTCAATGGTGAAAGCCATGAAAAAGCCAGTGGAAGTCGAAGATGGAGGCCACGGTGGCAGAAGCCCCCTTGGAAGGAATGTGCCACTAACACAGACAATAAATTGCCAGTCAAATGGGGGATGGCTCAATGGAAAACATCTAAATCAGGGCAGGCCAGCCCACTGGCAGCAAGGCAAGCCAGTCAATGGGGTAGTCACAGTGGATCCAAAGGCAGAATCAGTACATCCAGGGGAACATGAGATGGGCAATATCTGCGGCATGGGTTTAACTGAAGCTCACCAACTGGCAAGGGCAATGCATTTGGGTAGAACAGGAGAGCAGAGGACAGAAGCCAAGAGATGTGATTTGAGCTGTGCCAAGTGAGCAGAATGGTCTCTGAGGAAATATCAGCTTCCTACCAACTAGGAGGCTTCTGGCAGTGTGAGAGCTGCACGCAAACTGCCAAGTGTGGCAGGGCAAGGATCATGGCAGCAGGCATGTAGGATGCACAGAGGGAACAGCTAAGCTACTACATTGAGTGCCAACGTACTCCACTGGCATCCTGCAGCCCAATATCCAAGCACAGCCTGAAAAACTGGAAGAGCACTGAATGAGGAGGCAGAAGTTGAGGTTTAAACTCTAGTTCTGCACTAACTATACCACCTTATATTAAAACTCTGCCTTGCTGTTGATAGTTCGTTCTTTCTCATCACCCAGAAACTGCAAGTCTCCCTCTCCAAACCAAATTCCTGAGACTGGAGCCCTGACCTGAGACTGGAGGTGATCCAAATGCTGATAGTCATCCTTATTGCCACTATCCCACTCTGCATTTCCTGGTTGGATAAACATCTAAGAAAATGCTGGTTTTGTCTTCATCCATGCATACTTCTCCATCTGCTTTCCAGTCTATGCTCTCACATACTGTGTCTGAAAGCCTGAACTAGGCCAGGCGCATTGGCTCATGCCTGTAGTCCTAGCATTTTGGGAAGCTGAGGCAGGTGGATCACCTGAGGTCAGGAGTTCCAGATCAGCCTGGCCAACATGGTGAAACCCCATCTCTACTAAAAATACAAAAAAATTAGCCATGTGTGGTGGTTCACACCAGTAATCCCAGCTACAAGGGAAGCTGAGGCAGGAGAATTACTTGAACCCAGGAGGTGGAGGTTGCAGTGAGCCAAGATCGCACCACTGTACTCCAGCCTGGGTGACAGAAGAGACTCCGCCTCAAAAAAGTAAAATAAAATGAAATGAAAGCCTGGACTACTCTCCATCACCTGCAGCCAGAATATCCTTTGCCAGAACTTGTATGACTTCCATGAGCACAAGCAGCTCTGGGTTGTGGTTATTCCAATTTGGTCCATTTATTGAATGAAAGCTATCTGTGCCATAGGCACAAGATACAGTTCCTTTCAAATTCTCCACTCAAACTTCTTTACCAGGAAACCTAAAACTAAAACTAAGCATAAGCAAAACAGTAGTTGCAAAAGTAAAATTGTTTCCCATTATCTGGGCATATTATAGTTTCAAATGTCCATTTGCCCTTTTGAGGCCAAATGCTATCAGGACAGAGGTCACCTTTTCCTTTAAATTCGTGATAATGTAAGAAATACTCATGATAAGATGATTATCCTTAGAATACTCACAGCAAAGCTGAAACTACTCTTGATGAATACAGTTATACGTGATAACCTAAGGAAGAACTCTCTAGAGTAACAACAATCTCACTCCTACAGCCACTAGAGGAAGTATCTCCTATAATTCTCCCAAGGCAACCTCTTCTCGTCTCCCCTCTGCCTTTCTTTCCTCTTTTCCTCTTTTTTTCTCATCCTCTTTTTCTCTCTCTTTCCTGTACAAAATACTCTGTTCATATGATGCATAAATTGTGTTTCATTCAAGATTGTAGCTGGAGAAGAAATTATTTTTGTATTCAGTGCCTGTCTATGTCCCCTCTGCTTCATCTGTCAATATTGCCAGAACATTAGAGCTAGAGGCTGTATAGGTCTTTGGCAGAGCAATTCTCTGAGGAACCTAGGGAAACTCTAGAATAAAAATGCAATACAATGTGGCCAAATTTACAAATGGATACCCATGTGGGAACATTGTTTATGAAATCTTAACATTCAATTGATCCAAACCAGTGAAGGCTGTCCTAACGCCGTGCAAAATTAGTGGATCAGTGTATTATAATCTCGTTTATGTCCCTTGATTAGATAGATAAGCTACCATGAATCAGACCAACCACTATTTAAACATTATCTGGTAGGGCAACAGTCATATGGACAAATTTCAGATATCAAGAACAGAAAGGGAAGTGCCACAGTGAAAACAGAAATGGACTGTGAGGAGTTGAGAAGCTTGCAATCTAGAACACCAAAGACATTTGATCACACTTTTCATCTTTTATCCTCCACACTACTTAGCTCTTATGAGCTATCAAAACCATTATTTAAGAGACAGAGCTTCAGGATAGCATTCTTAGCATTCTTAAGTTCTGTGCTGACATCTCTGAGGACTTAGGTAACACGAATTACTGTTGGGTTTGCTTCATGATGGTACTAACAACAAACTACAAACCATGAGGCAGGATACTGAGTTTCTAAAAGATTTATTTAAAGATTCATTTGAATACTTTCCATTACTAATATTATTGTATTAGTCTGTTCTCATGCTGCCAATAAAGACATACCTGAGACTGAGTAATTTATAAAGGAAAGATGTTTAATGGATTCACAGTTCCACATGGCTAGGGAAGCCTCACAATCATGGAAGAAAGCAAAGGAGAAGCAAAGGCAAGTTTTACATGGCAGCAGGTAAGAGAGCTTGTGAAGGGGGAACTCCCATTTATAAAACCATCAGATCTCATGAGACTTATTCACTACCACGAGAACAGTATGGGGGAACTTCCCCCATGATTCAGTTATCTCCACCTGGCCCTGCCCTTGACATGTGGGGATTATTACAGTTCAAGGTGAGATTTGGGTGGGGACACAGCCAAATCATAGCAATCATGCATACTAAAATACTATTATTCTCTATCCCATCCTTGTGATTTCCCAAAACTGTGTCACAACTAATCTCTTATTCTAGGACCAGGCAGGGCCCTGCTTTTGTTCCGACTTTATTTCTAATACCAACTCATCCCAGCTCTATCTTAGAAAGTGTCTGACTGTTTACCCAGCACCCGAGCAAATAATAATGACAATAATTGCTTGACTATTGGGCTGTCCAGCACAAAATTTGAGGTGACAGTATCAGGAAGCCCCAGGACTTGTCTTTTCTTTTGTACTGACTTGCAAGAGTCAAAATTGCACAGTGTAGCTTTGGCTACTGAGAATATTGGGGAGTGGACGGATGTTGATGTGGTTGAATGAACATGAGTGAAGAAGTAAAAGGACTCTGAAAGTAATTAATTGAAGGAAATAATATGGGCACCTGCTATGAAAAAGTGAAATATATATGATGTATTTACATACACGCATTTTATTTTAAGACAGTATCCTGCTTAAACTCTTTCATGACTTTCATCTCTAAAACATTAAGTCAATATTCTTTAAAAAATTTTTTTCTGATTAGGCTTTCCATGATCTGGATCCAGCTATCTACCCAGAGTTAAGAGTGTTCTCATACCTCCCTCATGCTTGAGCCCTACACATGTCTGCTCTGGCCATATTCATCTTCATATTGTTCCTCAAATATGCCATGATTTCTTCTCTCTGGGCATTTCTCTCTGGAATATCTGCCCAAAGCTTCTCCTTCTATTGACTACCTCCTGCTCATACTTTTAAGTTCTACTTAAAGGCCATTTCCCTGATCTCCCTGTATACTGCAATATTTTCTATCTGCTCACTACCCCCTTAGTGCTTCTCCATCATAGCACTAATAGCAGTTGCCAGATCAATGCCTATCCCCTTCTGGGGAATAAAGGAAAGATGATGTCTGTTCTATCGACCTCTGTGCCAGCCTGCTATTTTGAAATATTCTTATTAGAGAATACAGGCAGTCCTCCCATCCATGCTTTGAATGACTCAAAGAAAATTCCCATTGTCTGTGGTCAGTAAAAACAATCTAGTTTAGAAAAGTAGGATTTGGGCCACCATGACTGTTGGAGCAGCCAGCAAGTTTGTGTCTACAGAGCTTGATATAGACAGACCTGTTTCTGTCCATTCCTCTTGGGATTTGAGTAAAGGTTCTATATTGCTTGGACTTTTGAAACTAAAGAAACTCTATAGTCAGAAAGTTGAGAAACCAGTGCAGAAATAATCAGATTATTATTTAATCTTATCTTGAATAGAGAATAAAGGGCACTTTGTTAAAAATACACTTGTGATTGAATTCTGCCTCTCATTTCTGAATGTTTGTTCACTGTGATTAAAAATAACTAATTAATGAATTAGAGTGAGGAAAGAGAAAAGGGTATTCCCCATTCTAACTAATTTCTTAAAACAGCCTAGTATCTAACATAGTGTTTGGCACATAACAGGCTCAGTAAATATTGATTGATTGAATGAATGTTGAAATGTCATTGGAGAGTATGTCATACAGAATCAAAATTATCAAAAAAGTTAATATACATTTTTTTCTTCTATTATCCTTTTTACCCAGTTGGTACTGTCACATTATCAGAAAGGATAGAGATTATTCTGGTAATGCTTTTCTTCTTTAAATTTTTTTTAAGGCTGTATTATTTTCCACCACAAAGTCAACTGTGGCCATTCATGGTATACAAAACATATGTCTTTTGATTCATTTTTATTGCAAAATTCCAAAGATCATTTGATATAATAGGAGCTGATATGTGAGACTGATATGATTCCAAATGCTCTTATTGGCTCTGGAAAGTAGAAAAGAGAAACTAAAACGGAAGTGGCAATCATAGAATAGGCCTTAGCCCTAAAATATCTGAAAGTCCCTGCAGCAAAGGACATCTAAACAATACAGCATAATATAATGGAACACACACACACAGGATTAGGAAGGATTAGGGGAGACTCTGACACTGATTCTCAGAGTGCTTCTTTGGCTTAACTTAATCACCTGCAGAATTAAATCTATACAAATGCAGGTTGGTCTATTTGCAGGGAATGTTTCTTGTCTGTGGAACCTATTGCTATGGGGTCATAACCCTACTCAGAAACGCTTCTGAAACATTTCACCTCAGGACACACTAATCCCTGACATGTCCCACCCTCAGGGATATAGCAATCCTCACCCTGACACTATCCACAAAGAATCACTTTGCATTCTAATATCTATCTCATAACTCATTTGAAGACACCAAAGAGCTACAGGCCCTAAGTCTTCAGTTTGAGAGTGGAATACATTAGAGTGAAGTCTCTCTCCCACCGCCATAACCAGTCTCTTTGTTTTACATTCAGTCCATACAACGTTACCTTCAGTACAGCAGATTTACAGACATAGAAACCTAGGTTTAGCATATCACCATGCTTGGGATCCTTTCTTGTGAGTGTTGCTGCTCTGTGACATGGGATGTTCCACTCTTCAAGATCCTCTTCTTACCTGTGACAACTAGCATTATTTATAAAAGACCATTATGGTATGAAAGAATGAGCATATATTCAATAAGTTGATAGGCATTGCCACCTTCTGCTTCTAGGATCCAGAGAAGATTGCAAACAAATCAGTATCTTTGCCCCCACAACCCAAAACAGATTTCCTACAGCTTCTTGAGGGAGTGAAAGCTGCTTAGAGCAGCGTGTAAATTCATGGCAAGAAGCAATAAAGGTGAGTTTTATACATTCCCATTATTGCTTCTACGTCTTTGCAATAATGTTTATTGACATGTTTGAACGGAGCACAAGCTGCAGTTCGGTTCAACTGCCTGTGAAAATGGGACATTTGTCAAGAAACAAACCTCGCAGTTTTTAGTGGCTCTGACAGTGGGTATTAGAAAGGATATTGATGGGGAAAAAAGAGAGAATAGGCAGGCCTATGGGGAGAGTGTTAAGGAATATACTCAGCACAGATGCCTGCAGTGGAGGAAAAGGGGATAGCTGAGGACGTAAAATTGAACACTGACCACATTGAGTGACTGCCAGTTGCCTTGAAGCATGTGTGTTTCTGTGGGAAACATCAACAAAAGCTCCATTTGTCTCATGAGGAAGGCCTCTACAGTGATGCTTTCATGTGGGATTTGATTCCCACTTTGCTTCTTTCCCCCGCAACAGTCTATCTCCAATGATAACCCAGTTCTTAGAGTGTGTGTATCACTCTGTTCTTTAGGGTTCTCACAAACTAAAAACTGAGCACAACACCTACTTAGCATATAACCTGCTTTTAGTTATTAAATAAGTCACGCAGTCTTTCCTTGGGAACATACTTATTGGGAGTGTGAGGTATTGTGTTAGATGCTAGGGTTGTGCATAGACCTTTCCCATAAGGAATCTGCACTTTAGTACCAGCATATGCTGCATTCATTAATAAAACAGAGTAGCACACATGTACTGAGGAACAAGAATTTCTACAGTGCTGGAGTTATTTTTTTTCCCCTCACTGGTAACCTAAATGACCAGTAAAATGTTGGGGCCTAAGTAGGCCTTTAATAGGTACACACTGATAGCCCAAATGCAAATGTATTTCAAGTGCTCAAGGAGATAAAACGAAAGTTACTAACAGCCCTTTTCTTCTCCTTGTTCAGATCAGCACTTCCAAATCTCAGCCATTCGAGGAATAGCATCAGGGCCCTCTCTGCAGCCAAACTGCCAAAATTCTAAGACAGCTCTCTAAGCACATTGAGCCTGACCCTGGTGAATCAAATCAGCACCCTCTTTCTCCCAAAGCTCAGCAACACGTAAGACTGTTTTAACCAACAAGTTTAATTCAGGGGAGAGTTTTACTTTCTTAATATACAATATAAAAAAGAAAGGAGATAACAAGACGAATGGTAATTAGTTATCGACAATGGAAGACATTATGCCTATGATGGCATACTACAGGGACAAGATTGTTTTGTCCTAGAAATGTCATTCCTATCTATCAAAAAAGTCCAAGAGACGAGTTGTATCACAACAAATTGAAGCTGAGAGGAAACTCAACTCCAAGTTGGCATTAGTTTCTGCCATCCATGAGTTAACAAAATTCCAAAGTTATAATTTCACTTAAATTCTATAACATACTATTCCAGCTAAATTTTTATCTCTTCTCTTTCTCCAGCCTTTCTAAATGTGTAGCTTAGCATTTCATTTCAGACTTGAAAAAGCCTTGAGATTCTTTCCTATCTTTTCCTTCCCAGAGCAGACAAACTCTCAGTGTACAAGGGGGTGTAGGCTTAACAGAGTTGTTCATCATTATGTGGGCAGAAAGGCACTTATAAAGCATACTGTTTGATGATGACATCCAAGATCAAGTTTCACCAGTTTGTCATGGTCTGCAAAATGCTGCAGTGCTAATGAAATTCTAACCTGGTTTAGATTACTGCAACAGCACTACCTCTTGTTTCTCTTTACTTAGTACCCATCCCCTCCTTATAATGTACATTATAACTTCTATCTTGAGGCCATTTACATTTTGACTGTGGCTCAGAAAATAGAAATGAAATTTTTATTAATATATAGATGTCTCAACTAATGCTTACTTTGGAAGGCAGGTATATTGAGGTGTTGTGCATGTGTGTACGTATATGTGTGTCGGTGAGAATGAGAGAGTGAAAGCAAAAGGCAGCAAGTGAGTATGCATGTGTGTGAGTCTGTGAGGAAGAGAAAGAGAAAAACGAAAGAAAAAACAAAAGAGGAGTGGGTGGGGGAAAGAGGAATGGAGGGAATGGAGAGAGAGAAGGAGAATGAACATGTTGATCAGAAATTACCTGGCTCAGAAAAAGTAATTTACTGATAAATGATTATCCATTTAGAGGTAACCAGTGTCAGCAAAAGCGGCCTTAAATTAATCTATTTGCCAATCCTTTCAGATCTCTTCCACAGGATAGTAGAAGGCAAGTCGGCTCAGCCATGTCACAGAGTCTCTCATAAACGGTAATAAATTGCCGTAGATTTCATTTCACATTTCAGCAATTCTGGCCCTAATGTGATGAGCAGAAAAGGGTGGGGGTTGAGTGCCAACGTTGAAAAGGAACATTGAGATAGAAAACTACCTGTCCTCACCCTGCAGGGATGCCTTTCAGTCAGAACTCAAAAATTCAGGCAGCAAAGATTCATACAGGCAAAATTCATCAGTGATGACTACACTAGACTAGGAATCAGAAGTTATGGTTTTACCAGTTACTGGAAGAGATCCCTTGGGCAAGTCACCTAACTGAGGAAATAGTTACCTAGAAAGTTGTTGAAAACAATGGAATGAGATTTTATGTACGAATGCACACTGCAAAAAGTAAAGAATGTTATATAAATACAGATCTGTAAGTCAATAACTTGCCCATCATGTGCCAGTGGCTAAACAAATGCAACCGCTCTCAAAGTCCTTATGATGTAATGGGCATGTGAGAGAACTATAAACATTCTTTTAGGAAACATTTTGGTCACAGCTAGACTTGAAGCAAGTGTAAAGTGCTTCAGAAATGCAGAGAATATAGTTTTTGAGGCAAGGCAACATTATTATTGTGGCTCACTGACACATCATTAACATGTCAATCTCCTTCAGGAATTTGTTAAATCATTTGCACCTCAACATTGAAAACTTGTTTGCCTCTTGGCTTCCTTAATGAAAATAATGCAGTACCTGCAATTAATAATAAAAATAAATACTATAGTAAATTTAATGTCTGAGGCTATATATATTTCAAAATGTTATTACTCTAATAACTTGGTGTATGCATGTAATTGTAATTATTCTTTGGCACTTCCATGAACTCTCCTTTAGGGAACTGCTTTTAAAATATAGACTAATATTGCTCATTGGTTAAGTAGATCAAAGAGAGATGAAAAAGCATTAACTAACTCCCTTGATTTTTATATATATATATATATATATATATATATATATATATATATATACAATAAATATCCACATTATAATATTGCATATATTTATATTACTATTCTTTATTAGTAAATTTGCTTAAGCTTGAAAATACCTTAATATTTTTCATTCTTCTTGTATTGCATGATCTTACTGATTTGATTCCTCAAGAAGCAACACATGTTATTATTTCCATTTTATAAGATCAGGAAACCAAAGTTTGGGAGTACTCAACCTGGACACAGTTCCAAAGTCCAAGCCCTAGGACTCACGTTGCTTAATCCATTGATATCAATGTCTGTGGCTGGTATTTGCCCTTAGTATCATGGCTGAAGTAAAGCTATAATTTTAAAGCTCCTAGAACGGTATCTAAAATGCCTTTGATAGTTACTATGAGTGACTGAAGTTAAAAGATTTGGGTCTTGCAATAACTTTATTTAATGAAGGAATTACTGCTTTATACAATTATTATCACTAGAAAAGTCTGAAAAATTTTCAATAGACTGGAAAAAATATCTAAAGAATACCAAATTAATATATAATTAAAATTTAATTGTATATAAATTGATAAAATTAATTATATCTAAAATATAATTAAACTTTAAACACAACTATAAAATAATCTGGATTTAGGATATATATGTATTGTTTTGCTGGGGGTGGTACAAAATATAAAATAAAAATAAAATATTATAAAGAGGTTACTTATGAAGTGCCAAAATACAATGATATTTTCAATCATTCACCTGGTTTAAAATACATTTGAAATTTCATCTGGATATTTTGAATTTTGTATACATAGATAGAAAGATAGATAGACAGATAGATAGATATCCAATGTCTACCACATACAGCCTTTAGCACCTACATACACAGAAAACACAGGAAACAACTCTCATCCATATGCTTTACTATTTAACATATAATCAGACAAAAACTACACTTATATTGGGGCAAGCTGAGCAAAAAGACCACCTGGTGAAAAGTTAAGAGGGGGAATGTCCTCTGGGAGTCTAAAGAGCACAATACATTCTGCGCATCCACAGCCCTTTGTCATCTGCCTATTCTACATCTTAAGCAGTCTGGAGGCTTGACTGTAAGTATCTAATTTTGGTTATCATTCGCCACTTACATGGGATCTTCCATTACAGAACAACAAAGGACTTTTGACGTATTGACTGAAACTTAAACTTCTTATATGGTATATATCGTACTAAGAACAAATGTGACTTTGCTATACCATGGTTGACTCTTGGTAGTCTTCAAAATACATTTTAAATATATAGCATTTACATCACTTAAGGTCTGGTCCCATCCTTCCTCTTCAGCTCAAATTCTGCCACTCACCAATAAACTTGATGATTCCTGGAGCATGTACTCATACCTGCAATGCCTGACCACTCATGGCACTAGATAAAGCCTTAAATTGTAGAAAAAGCCTAAACAGAAAAAGCTTGGTACATTTTCAGACTGTTCACTTTTATCTAGTTACTAAGTTGACCAAAAAAAAAGTGATCTAAAAGTAATTGTCTTTTTCTTCTGTCTTTGCATACATATAGTTGGGACTCAAAAAAATGGAACTGAATGTGTTGCTTAAAATGATTTTGGGGATGATCAATTATACGCCCCCCACAACACACACACACCAAAAGAACCCAGATATTTTTGCAAGGCTGTATAAATGTATCTTTAAGTTAAGCCTCAAGCTATCCTGGAGGAAGTATGAGAAATGCTGGAAAGGGCTGAAAGAAGTGAGATCTCCTACACTTACTTTTCTAAGATAACCACGACACATCAGTATCTAACAGTCACTGACAAAGATGCATTGCTCCTTCTGGAAATATCACCTGGCGGTTAAAGAAAAAGCCAGGCACTTCATTCTACTCCATCATTTGGTTTACAGTATTTGGATTTGTAGCCACAGCTTTATCCTTTGCCAAAGATTCCATACTGCATGCTGTCATTCACACTGCCAGACTGCAACGTCTGCCAGGATTTATGGCTACCACGCTGCTCCCTCACTGCTAAGAGCAGATGGCTAGGCTGAGGGACAGCAGACTGCCTAAGGGCAGAGACAAGGGTGTGGGGAAGAAAGAATGTGGTAGCCACAGGGACACTCTTCATTCTCTAATAAGCCTGGGAAAGTTGACTTCCATGAGTGTCTCTCTTTTCCTTAAAGGATTGTATCTGGTAAACTAAGATCAATAGTAAGCATCAGGAAGTTTGGGAAACTCTTAACATCGACTGCAAAATGTTTGGTAGTATTTATAGATTTGTCTTCTCTGAGGAGAGCCAGCTTCATAGATATTATAAGTTAGTCTTGACCTTCTTCCCCCTACCTTAAAGTATGGCATGCCTCCCTATATTGCTATACGATATGGACAAGTCTGTTGAAACATTCTAAATTGTTAGGATAGATTCTGCTTAGGATAGACTTAAAAAAAAAACAACGGTTTTTGATTCATGAACAAGTGACAGTAAAATATGAATCAAAGACCTCATAACAAGACATTCTAAAACAGATTTAATATAAATTGTATTAATAAAACTTATTGGCGATATCCGGAGACTGGATGCTTCAGGTGGTGTCATCTTTGTACAACAAAAGGTGGTGAGGGATCTTCATAGCAGTGGGGAAAAAAAGAAGAAAAGCAACTAACATCTATTCCACCACTTCATCATCCATCACTGAGTGGAAAGCATACTGAGGGAAGAGGGACGAAATAAATAGGAGATTTCAAAGAGAAGGTGTGAGTCAGGTTCAACCAAATTAAAGGCCTAGTGTATTCTTACTCACATGCTACCTCTTCTGGCTAGCTTTTCCTGACTTCAACATCCATAGATAAGTGGCACATCTCACTTGCTACTGCCATGACACTCAAATCCCACTCTAGCACTGCACTTATCAGGCACTGTGTGTCTCTTTACATGCCTATCCCTCTCTCTAGATTGTGTGCTCCCCAAAGATATGTATTTTGTCTTAATCATTTTTTAGTCCATGGTGCTTAATGTATAACGGATTTAATATATGCCATTAAACTAATGTGCAAAATAGGACATTTCTGACAGTTTCACTGATATTTAATGATGGGGCAGAACTAGCAGTATGACCTTGAATGGTATACAATACACAACCACAATTGTATACACATCCACATAAAACTTACTTTTAGATTCAGTCCACACAGTCTATTATAACTATACTGCCATTTTGGTTAAGTAAGGAAAAAGTAAAAAGATGGTCAATTTATGTTAGTGGCTTAGAGTTCCCTCCCCCCCTCCCTCCCTCCCTCTCTTCCTTCCTTCCTTCCTTCCTTGCCTTCCTTCCTTCTTTCCTTCCTTCCTTCTTTCCTTCCTTCCTTTTCCTTCCTTCCTTCCTTTCCTTCCTTCCTTCTTTCCTTCCTTCCTTCTTTCCTTCCTTCCTTTTCCTTCCTTCCTCTTTCTCTCTTTCTCTTTTATTTTCTCTAATCCATCAAAATTCTATATATTTTAAACTTCAAAATTCAAAGAATGACTTGAATTCCTAAAAGTCCAGCCCCATAGTTTTTTCATATGAGGAAATTAAAGTTCAGAGAAAGGAAGTGAGTTGGCCAATGAATGTCACCCAACCAATTTGTAGCAGGACCCGAAGGCAGAGACTCAGGTCTTCTGATCTTAATCTTTCCACAGTATTAAGCTGCTACAATGTTTAATGTACATCCCAACATGCAATAAAGTAAACATCAATGGCATGATGACACGAATATTGTCAAGCCTTTTAAAATATTCTAAACTGTGTCAGTTAATTGTACAAATCTCTCTGGTTCTGCATCTTCCCATAGGAGTTTAGAGGTTTTAACATTTCCAGGAATAGAATAAATCCAGGATAATAAAGACGTGGCAGAAAAACAAACTCTGTACATAGGAGGTTAGGAAATCAGATTGAACACAGTAAAGAGTAAGCTGAAGACAATGTATAATTGATAAATCAGTATGACAAGGCTGGCGTTCCTCCCCATCTGTGTCCGTTGGCGGGGCTCCCCACACTTGCCTCTCTGAATTGTCTGAGAAGGTTTACAGTGTGCTTGAAATGCCCCATTACTCTTTGTACCTGTAAATGCAAAGCTACTATATGGTGCATCCTATGGGTGGGAATTCTACCACCCATATTAGCAACTGGAAAGAATAGAGGCATTGTTCAGTCATTTCAGTCTCAGTCACTCCAACAATTCTATACTAGTGTTTTAAACAAGGGGTGGTACCACTTGCTGGGAGTGTTTGGAAATGTGTGGGGACTTTTTAATTATCACAGTAACTGAGGGCTTCTACTGGCACTTAATGACTAGAAATGCCAGATGCCCTGCAATGCAGGGGGCTGTCCTGAAAAACAAAGAATTGGCCTACCATAAATGCCACAAGCAGCCCCCACCTTGAGAATCACTGAGAGTATTCTGGGCTTCTGTGCCCTCTAGTCGCTCAATCAAGGAAAATCAAGAAGCTGGTGTCAAGCTTCAAGTATGGGAAAGCTCCCGAGCTTGCCTTTTGCTTGAATGGAGATGAAAGGTCTCTTGAATGAGAGATTCAAAATAAAAAAAAAAATAGGTAAAGATTCCTTTCTGGTTTGCCTGAGGGTACTATGAGTGTTTGGGTAAAGATGGTCTTGACAACTTCACTCCTGAAGAGTCAAAAGACTATTTAAGCATAAAAGTTTTCCAATGATTAACCTGGAAATTCTAATGAGTCAATATCTTTGAAGGTAGGGAAATCAGGCTGCCATCTCTGAAGCACAGTGGGACAGTGTAAACCTGGACCTTCCTAGATATACAATGTAAGACAGCTCCCAGTTACCATGGACCACCCATGTGAAAATGAAAACACCAGCATATCTGAACATAGAACACAGCCCCTCACCAACTTCACCCAGGATATACTCCTGAAACATAAGCCACCTTTGTGACCTTCACAGCTTTGCCAGGGAGGTGTGCAGGGCCACTCTAACCTCAACCTTTTGCTAGTTTCTCTTGAATTTGTGAGGATCATCTTCGGTTCTCAGACTCAGCCCACCAGACTCACTCTTTCAGTCACCAGATTCATGGTTCAAGGAAGAAATCATGATTTTTTTTTTCAATCCGACTTAGAAAACATGTATTAAACAATCACTCTTTCTTGGACTGCTTTGTGGGATACACAATAACACATCATTCATCCACGAAGTATTTATTGAATGTCTGTCCCTTGCTAGGTCCTATGCAATAGTCAGTAGGCAATATAAAAAATGAGTAAAATTAGGAGATAACCGATCCTCAGAAAATTCACACTCTCATAGAGAAACAATGGGTGAGATTCTTAGAGAGGGCTTATAAAGTCTTGGGCCAAGTTTTAAAAATTCCAATAAAGTAGATTTAGAACGGTGGAGAAATGGAAGAAAATATTTCATGAAGAAACAGTGAGTTAAGTGCATACCTTGCATATGCTTTCTTCTTCATTACTCATCATCTACAGTTCCATTCATAATTCTCCTATGTCTGAAAACCTCTACATTTAAAGACCCTACTAGTCTTCTAAGCATCTACTTCATTCTAGACTGTACCATACATTTTAGAATTTAATTAAATGCTGTCTTGAACCACTCTGTAGTTTCGTTATGTAACTATCTCTGTCTCCTGAGACACATGATAGTCACTCTGAGTGTAGAAGCCAGACTGTCTCTATTTTCTGTAGCTCACACAGGAACGTGCAGAGAACTGTGCATGCAGCTGATCAGACACATACTGCCTGATGGCTTGTTGGCTTGAATAGAAAAAAGATGAGAAATTGGAGATGAAGAGGAGGATTTGGGAGTTGTCAACAAAGACTGAGAGTGCAGTTGTATTTGAAAGTCACTGCAGCCGCCATAATGTTTGAGCATCAAGCATAGGACCTTGTACAAAGTAGGCACTAAAGAAATAGTTTTTGAGTTTAATTGATAAGAGACTTAGTATTTCTATGGTGATTTCCGGGAAGCTAGACTGCTTCTGGGAAACGTGTCATTTGCAGGAGGAGAGATCTGTAATTTTCTGTTCAAAGTTTGGCTCCTAATAATGGAGGTCACAGAACCTCCATTATCTTGCCCTAAATTGACCCCTTTTAATGCCATGACAAAGGATTAATCAGGTTTGTCCTTCCTAGAACCACTGTGAATTGCTAAGAGAATGTGCATATTTGTTTCTTTTCTTAGAGTTTTAAAGTAGTCGACATTGTCTGCCTGGTTTGTCCGCCCAGTTCTCTCTGGTTTTATTTCCAGTTGAGGCCAGGATACGGCTCTCTTCATCTATGATTCACAATTTTTGGCTACTGCTCCTTATGATTGCTGCATCCTCATCTCATATCTCATTACCCCCTCTCCCATTAAAACTTGTTTAACCAGGTGTAGTATTTTTTATCTTTCCAATGTAACCACAGTGCCTAGCACAGTCATAGAAACATAGTAGGCACTCAAGAAACATTTAAGTAAATGACATGCTTTTTAATGAAACTGCCTTTTTAAGATTCTCCTGCTTATTCACTCCCAATTTGGCTTATGTGCTTTAGAAATGTGGATTCTTAATCTTCTCTTAGGCTCTTCTACACAGAAGCACCAACCTTAGAATAATTGGTCTTGGACATTTTAACATCCTGCATTTCAAATTCTGTTCACTGTCTGCATAGCTAAACCTACACATGCTCTCGTTGATCCACTATCAGTAAAGTGGGAGTCTCATTACAAATGAGGTTGACTGTTTTTTATATCTGTCATATCTTTAACCAGAATTTAGGAAAGTGGCGAGAGGACCGTATTTACTTGCTTCTATTTAGTGAAGTGTGTGTGTGTGTGTGTGTGTGTGTGTGTGTGTGTGTGTGTGTGTGTGTGTGTGTGTCTTATGGGGGGAGAGGGACACAGAGGATATTTACATTCATGAAGCTCAAGTCTTGCTTCCTGTCTGTCATTTCCAGCCTGGTCAGGGCATCCCAGAGATGAGAGGTAAAGAAGCCAGTACACTCAGGTTAGGATCTTTGAAGGAATGAGAGGAAAACTGCTATTCATGGAGATCAGAGTTCATACTCTTTCTAACCTACCCTTTCTTCTGACCAAGTTCCTGTTGGCAGCCAGTTTAGGAGCAAGGCCTAGAGCATAAGAGAGATAAAGCAGTGATTGTGCCATCTGCAATTCATCCTGAGGAACTGTTATGTGAGCACACATACATTTAAATATTTGAAAAGCATCTTTTAAAATGAGTATCAAAATGACAAATAATGTAAGTCAGAGAAAAATGCCCCAGCGTTTCCCTATCTCCCTTTCCTCATTATGGAGATAAATCCCAGATGAATTTTTAGACAGCAGAGGGAGTGGAAAAAAATACTAGTAATCACAACCACAATGGCAGGAGTAATGTCTGCAGAAAGCTGCCGGCCTGGAAAAGCAGGATCTACAGTCTTGCTTGCCATTTGCAAGTATAAAAGCAGAACCCAGGAGACTTTTCCAGCCCTGGGGAGGAGACTGGTGCTGAGTCAGGGGGTGGCAGGGGTGTGTAGGGGCAGTGAGAGGCTTGTTTATTTCAGGTCTTCTCTACTGATAGCTTGAACTTCAAGGGATTTGGAAGTTTGATTCAGATTAGTGTTCCAAAGCAAGGCTGTTTCTCACAGCCTCATCCAGTCCACTTATGTATGTAAAACTACAAGGAGAATTTCAAGAAAATAGGCTCTCTAGGGAGACTCCCAGCCTCACTGCCAGAAAACGGTGCAGAAGCCGGCCAGCCAGCCAGAAAAAATGCCAGCCCTAATGAATCTTTCCCTGGTTATGACCAGAATCTCAAAGCATCAAGGGCTGTAAAAAAGAGGGGCAAGGGCCAATCAGACACTGGGGAGTTTCTGAGACCAGGCTTACAAGGAGAAAGAGTGGATGGACTTGAGTTCACAGATAATTTGTAAACCTGCCTCTTCCTCAGACATCCAGGGTGCAGAAGTTGTGGATCTGGATATTCCAGAATCTGACTCAGCTGTGTGAGCTGCCTGTTTGCCCTTCTGTTGGGTTTTCTGGTGGCTAGTACCAGGGTAGCCCAGCTCCGGGCAGTGTCCAGACAGTCACCCAGCTGCAACGTTATTTTAAATGCAAGTTTGTGTGCTGCCTGTAAGAAGGGCTGTGAGAAGTGCAGATGAAATGAACACCATCACTTCGAGTACAGCATCTGCATAAATCACTGTCCAGTGCATTCATTCCTAGTGACAGATTAATTCCTTTCTCAGGTTTTGCTTAAGAGTGTACCATGGAATACTAATACTGTTCCCCAGAGACGGGGAGAGAGAGAGACGGAGAGGGAGGGAGGGAGAAGGACTGAGGGAGAGGGAGGGGGAAAGATAGGTAAAGAGAGAGAAGGAGGAGAAAGAGGGGGAGAGAGAGAGAAGCAGAGAAGAGAAAGAGGGGGAGAGAGAGAGAAGCAGAGAGGGGAAGGGGGAGAGAGAGAGAAGAGAGGAGAGAGGGACAGAGACAGAGAGAGAGACTCAGATGTCTCTCTTAGCACAGTGAACACTAGGATGACAGTGTGTTAAACGAGGAGGGGTTTCCAAGTTTCCCAGCAGAAGAAGTTCATTTGAAAATTGTGTTGTAGGGTGTAGATTGTGGGGAAAATCTGAGCCACTCAGGATGTGTTTCTGCACTCTGAAAAGCTATGGGATGTGGTCTGACACTGATAGCTATTCTGGGATCTCACCATTCGTCCATTCTCAGCCTCTCTCTTTAGGCAGGGGAGGACTATCATCCATGGAAAGAAAACAGAGCATATGATTTAATGTCACTCAATTTTAAAGATGTGAAAGAAAATATTCCCCAGAAGTACTCCATTGAAAACAGCTCTGAGAAACATGCCAAGTTCATAGAAATGTAAGACAGGAGAAGGGAGGCAGGAAGGGAGGGGAAGCATTTTACCTCCCAGGACTGGTTCCTCCCTGGGCATGTTTCTGAGCCGGCACCTGAAAAATGACTGTGATGGTATTTGCAGTTTATCAAGTCTTCTGGCAGAAGTGTCAGGCACAGAGAACTCACTTGTCACTCCAACATTTCCTGGCATTTGCTAACCACATCGAGGAACGGAGGGCAAAAGGATTACAGAATTAAGCGGCACTGGTACAGCAGCTGGTGAGGGGCTTAGATTTAGCTGTCACTTTGAAGAAAACTCCATTTCATTTTGTGATTTGGAAGAAGTAAAAGTTAAAATAGAGGGGCTGGGCTGGACCAGTCTTTCTCAGGGTCTACAGGGAAACATCAGAGGTACTCTCAGCGCTTCAAGGGGTTTCGGCTGCCAGTTTGCTATATCAGCTCATTTTTCCTCTGGATACCAAGAGAAACCCACCACATTCCAGTGAGGTCCCATTTCCCAGCTGCCATGAAATTGTGAAATGAGGCATTTGACTCAATCAGAAAGGTTCTCCAGGCCCTTTGCCAAGCCCATGCCTGTGCCTGTGTCTTTCTTTACCTGGAACGCTGCTCCTTGCTCGGTGTGCCTGACCCATCTGTTTCTGCATCTCTGTTAAAATCCAGCTTAAGCATCCCCTTATAACACCCACCTGCTGCCCCGAAGTAGTCTTGAACTCTCCATCAGCTGCGTTCCCAAGGTAGCTACCCAATTGCCATTTTGTCTGAAGTTGCCAGCTGTTTGCTTTTCTGCAGAACTCCAAGTTCCTCAAGAATTGTGTTAAGTATTCAACAAACTTTTCTGAGAATCGCCTGTGTGCTCTGCACTGAGCATAGGTACAAGAATGGATAGACCATAGCCCCAGTGCACAGAAGGGAGCCTACACGTTGCAAATGCGGAATGCATATTTTTAACACAAAAATAAAAGTTTTTTAAGTCCTCTCTCCTCATAACTTGGTTGAAATATTTCCTAGGATGTGTGATTGTTGAAATCTATTTGAATATCAGTAGGGAAGAGAACTTTACCTCTGGGAGTATGTGTATATTAATCTGGCTCTTTGATTGTGGCAAAATAGGCTATGTACGACAAAACTAGATAAAATTTGGATTGTGCATTCTTCCATTCAATGAAGCTTTTAATGGGTGTTAAAAAAAAGACTGTGAGAGAAAAATGAGTAAATTTTTTTTAATTTTAATTTTTAAGTTCCAGAGTACATGTGCAGGATGTGCAGGTTTGTTACATAGGTAAATGTGTGCCATTGTGGTTTGCTGCACCTATCAACCCATCACCTAGGTATTAAGCCCAGAATGCATTAGCTATTTTTCCTAATGCTCTCCCTTCCCACACCCCATACCCCGACAGGCCCCAGTGTGTATTTTTCCCCTCCCTGTGTCCACGTGTTCAAAAATGAGTAAATTTTTAAGGAACACACACAGGGGTCTGAGGGAAGATTGGTGATGATAAATAGCAGACTCCTCCTTATTTTAAAAGGAGGAGTTTCTTTAGCTAATGATGAGTGCAAGATTAACCTTTCATTATCTTCTCTATAGAATTTCTGGAAAGAAAAGTGAATGACCTTATGCAACTGGTTGATAGTGCTTTCAACACAGGACTAATAAGCCTGGTATTAGAAAGTGACTGCATTCAGTGGATCCATTATCCTTCTCTTGCCTACGGACTTGTTATTCATTGCGCTGTCATTCCTGCAACAGCAACATTTTGATTTTGAATTTTTCATTAAAATTTTTTTTCTCATATTCAGCTTTTAGGAAAAAGCAGATAAATCATAATAAAAGAAGCTCATGTCAGGGATTCATTCAGAAGATTAACTTTTTAGTATGGGTTATATTGGTAAATATTCAACTCAATCCTTTGGAATTTTCTTCATGAAAACCCAGAGTAAGAGAATTGCTCAAAATAAAACAAATCAACATCTTCGAGGCTTAAAAAAAATGAATCATTGTACTGTGTACCATGTAGTTAGGCAGGAAAATCAATAAATGCTTCATTGAAAACATTTTTATGCCAATGGTTAGAATTAAAACAAAACTTTATTTAGGCCGGGCATGGTGGCTCACGCCTGTAATCCCAGCACTTTGGGAGGCCGAGGCAGGCGGATCACGAGGTCAGGAGATCGAGACCATCCTGGCTAACATGGTGAAACCCCGTCTCTACTAAAAATACAAAAAATTAGCCAGTTTTTTGTCCTTGCGATAGTTACACCACATGTTCTCACTCATAGGTGGGAATTGAACAATGAGAACACATGGACACAGGAAGGGGAACATCACACACCAGGGACTGTTGTGGGGTGGGGGGAGGGGGGAGGGATAGCATTAGGAGATATACCTAATGCTAAGTGATGAGTTAATGGGTGTAGCACACCAACATGGCACATGTATACATATGTAACAAACCTGCACGTTGTGCACATGTACCTTAAAACTTAAAGTATAATAATAATTAAAAAAAAAAAATTAGCCGGGTGAAGTGGCAGGCGCCTGTAGTCCCAGCTACTGGGGAGGCTGAGGCAGGAGAATGGCGTGAACCCCAGGGGGCAGAGCCTGCAGTGAGCCAAGATTGCACCTCTGCCCTCCAGCCTGGGCGACAGCGAGACTCCATCTCAAAAAACAACAACAACAACAACAAAAAAAAAAACCTTTATTTAGTGTTCAGTTAATTAGCAATCCTGATTCACCATTCACCAGCCCATTTGAAATTTCTTTTTTTTTTTTCTTTTTTTTAACATCCATACACTGATTCAGTCACTCTTTCAACCAACATTCTTTGGCATTCTATGCCAAGAATGGAAAGAACAACCAGTTAGGTCTTGTTACCAGGTCACTCATCAACTAATAAGAAGGCAATAAAACAAATAATATTAACATGATCTGGCTCTATGTCCCACCCAAATCTCATCTAAAATTGTAATCCCCAAGCACTAAGGGAGGGACCTGGTGGGAGGTAATTAGATCATGGGGGTGGCTTCCCCCATGTTGTTCTTATGGTAGTGAATGAGTTCTCAGGGGATCCAATGGTTTATAAGTGTGGCACTTCCCCCACCACACCTCCTGCTTTGCCATGGTAAGATGTGCCTGCTTTCCCTTTGCCTTCCACCATGATTGTAAGTTTCCAGAGGCCTCCGCAGCCATGCAGAACTGTGAGTCAATTAAACCGTTTTTCTTCATAAATTATCCAGTCTCAGATAGTCCTTTATAGCAGTGTGAGAATGGACTAACACAAATATCAAGACAACATCTGTGAGACAAGACAATTTTGTGCAAAGTTGAGTCCTAAGAACTAAATGTTTCTGTCCCCTCCAAATTCATATGTTGAAGGCTAAATCCCCAATGTGATGATATTTGGAGATGGGACTTTGGGAGGTAATTAGGTCGTAAGGTCATGTAATCCCAGATGAATAGCATTAGTGCCCTTATAAGAAGAAGCATGAGAGAGATGCTCATTATTTACTCTCTGCCATGCAAGGATCCAAGGAGAAGATGGCCATCTACAAACCATGAAGCAGCCCTTTATCAGATACTGGATCTGCAAGTACCTTGATCTTGGACTTCCCATCCTCCAGAATTGTGATAAATAAGTGATTCTTGTTAATGCTACTCAGCATATGAAATTCTGATATAGTAGCCCAAAATGACTAAGATGTTCACTGGTAACATAAGACACAGAAAATATGCAGGACAAGAAAACTTCAGAGAACTTTACCAAAGAAGTAGTATTTCCACTTTAAGATGAGAAAGGACTTCTCAATTGAATTAGATAAACAAGGAGTAGGCTTTCTAGTTAAAGGAGTCAGAATATACCAAGGATAGAATCATGTGACTGAGGGTAACTTCTGGGATTGAAAATCATTTTACATATGTGGAGTACAGGGGGCAAAGCAGGTGGAGGTGGGTGTTGAGGTTGCAAAGGTGGTAAAGAACAGATCGTAAAGAGCTTTGTAGATTATGAAAAGGTTTTATAATTGTTATTCTAGGTCCTAACAATGACATTAATCAAGGATTTAATCAGTAGGTAACATTTTCCTATTTCTACCATCAGCTCTTTCTTTTACCTTTTCTTGATTATTCCATTTTTTTAATCCTCCTTCACTGAGTGTCTGTAGAACTGAGCATATAATATACAATGTATCCTTTAATCATAGATTGTTTTTATTGCTTTCTAATTGAGTCAAGTATTCTGATCTTTTTCCTATAATGAGGATAAATACTGCCAGGACAGAAGCTAGGTCTTAAACTTTCTCTGTATCCTCATAGTATTTTACACAGAATAGCCACTTTGAAAATACTTACTGAATAATACTTTAATAATAATAATAATAATCCTTTTTTCTTTCAATATCCTCCGATTGCTGGGATAGATGTTCAGAAGAAAAATAGAACACTTCATACTGCTTCAAGTTTTGAAGTATGTAATTAACTCAAAACATTCACACATTTTCCAAATTATTTATGGTGATACGTTAACCTTCTCTATCTGTCTTCCCAGAGTAAACACTCAAAGTCCTCATCTTTAAATTCTCTTTCTCCTACTGGCCACTTTAGAAGGCTATCTAAGTTGCCTTTTACAAAGAGTAATCTGGATGATGCATTGGCTAAACTGCATTTAAAATTGAAATATAAAAGTCAACAGTAGTTGGTATAATTTAAATATTGAAACATGCATTTTTATTAGCTATAAAAATGTGTCCTAAAATATCTGGGTTAGTTTCTCTGTGCTGTGCTGTGGCACTGAATGCCCCCTGTTCAGTCCACAAGAATACATGGTGGTCTTGAACAGAACAGGCTGAATGTCACCCTGAGCAGACCTGTAAGAAGGGGTTAGTTACAGATGTGTGTCTCTAAAGAAGATTGCCACAAGTCACTGCTTCAGATTATGTTGCAGTGACCCCATCCCCTTCAAAGCCCATTAACTCCCCGGTCAAATGAAGAAACATAGAAAGTTGTATTCTCAGTTCCTTCCTTCAGATACAATTGGGCTTAAAGTGGGTGTTAGATAGATGTTGGAAATGGTGCCTTCATGAAATGAAAATGGGTAAGCTAATTATGCAGTCAGTAATGCTGGGCCAAGTCTCCCAAACGCAAACTTAGGAGCCAAAACATATCTCCATAAACACACGAATTTCAATTAGTGGTTAGAGCCTCCAGTACACCATAATGCCAACGTTGATACACTCTGGAATACAAGGAAGTACCAGG
Source organism: Homo sapiens (assembly GCF_000001405.40). Taxonomy (NCBI): domain Eukaryota; kingdom Metazoa; phylum Chordata; class Mammalia; order Primates; family Hominidae; genus Homo; species Homo sapiens. Next base: position 117,768,889 of record NC_000003.12, read on the forward strand.
GTGGAAGCTTTTTTGCCTTACAGTCCTCCTTAAGACAATTTATTTTTGTTTACTAGGCTTTATGCTAATTGGTCATTTTTGACAGATCTAAGTTCTGACCATGTGCTGTATCTGCTTCCTCTGCTAGTCCTTGTCAATGCCAAACCACATATCCTTTCTCTCCCTCGAATCTCTATTCTTTCCTTCTAACCATACTTCTCTTCTTCAAACACTCTTTGAAGCTTGCATTACCTGTGCAAATGACCAACCTTACTTCAGTAGTTCCATAGCATGTGAGTACATGGATTTTTCCATTGAGATCCTAAGCTTTTGTGAAACCCTATTTAGCACAGAGCAATAAAGAGTGAAAACACTTTAAATCTGATAAAATTCATGATATGAAACAGAATGACTCAGAGACCTTTGCTTGTTCAGAATTAAACACTAAATCTCTGAAGGAAATCTGCTCCTTTAATATCTAAATCAAGAAGTAAAAAAGGTAGACATATTTTTTGACAGCCTCTGGGGTGGCAGAAATTGGCTACAGTTCTGTGACTAATGAAGACCCCAGGAGAGCAACATAAATTACACAAAATAAAATTACAAATGAAACTTTTCTCATAAAAGTCTTGGTCATTTTTTGAGGTAGATGTATTTTGATTTATACCAATGACTTACTACTCTTGTGTATGTTAAGAGGGACTGGTTTCCTCAATAAGATGAAAAAAGAACTAGGTCCAGAGAGACAGAAATTTTAGCAAATATTTTTTATTCTCCCTCTGGGTCCCAGGCCCTCCCACCCACTCCAACCCACAGAGATGTCTTGTGTAGATACACCCATCATCCCTTAAAAGAGATACAGTAAAGTGGCATCATTAAATTGCCATCAATACCTCTGATATAAGCCTAAAAGCCCCAAGTATTTCCTTTTTATTCAGTTAACAAATATACATCAAGAATTTTCTATTTTCTAGGGAATGGAAATACAGAAATAAGAGAGACAGAATGGCTTTCACTTTAATGACACTTAAAATCTACTAATACTTTTCATTCCCCAACTTATATGAACAAGTCTTCTTACTCCTGACTTAATCTACAAGCAACTGAGAGGAAAAATATGCACTAACCTGGCAAAAGGCTAAAAGACTAAATGCATGGTTTTGAATGCCCATCTCAAGGAAAACACTGCTATCATGCCAACTGTAGCATTTCCCTAACATTTCAAAACATCTTCAAGCATGACTACTGTGGTTGGGATCATCAAAGTATCAAAATTGACAAATAGTCCATTAACAAGGCCTTGAGAAAATTTTTTTTTTCCTTTTCTACACAAAGTCAATGCATATACTATTTTGGGGCTAAGTTAGTTCTCTAAAGTTATATTAACAGCTAGCTTCTGTGCAATCAATGGAAATACATTGGCAGGTATATATTAACTGAGTACAAACTGAAGTGCAAAAACAAAGGTCAAGATGAAGACTGAGGTGAAGGCACTTGAGGAAAGATGGTGTAGCCATGTATTCCAGGAAGTAAAGGGAGGCCTAGTAGGTCCCAGGCACAGCCAAGCCATTTGTCCTTGGCTTGTCTGCATTCTGATGCAAACTGTTGGATGTTCTGTGTGCCAGCTCTTTGGTCATCATACAGCTTTAATTTACAGGATGTAAAACCACAATATTAATTCTCAAATTACAGAATTAACATTAAGAGTCTTCCTGTTTCATAAAATGGGTGATAATGCAATGTGGAAGCTGTTTAGTGGTTCCTACAGATCAGCTTCCCACAAATGCCAGAACTGGTTGCTTTTCGGTCAGAAACAAGTATGCCAAGTCATTTCTATTCAAGGTCATATTGCGGCTTCACTCAGAGGATTACTCTGAACCCAAAAGGTCACAATTTCCCCATTAAGGTGGCAAAAAGTAATTGGATCTACCCACTGCATAGTATTTATATTCTCCTTTCAACTTGCCTCTAAATCACACGAAGGAAGAGGATGTGCATTCCGTTATTCTGAAGTCTCCTTGGTGTCTAGAAAAACTATTGTCCCAACAGCATTTATTCATCTGTATATTTATTCATGTCAAGTATTTATTGAGATCTTTAAAAATACATAGGGCTTAGTAGGTGATGGTATACGCTTTTTGAGAGGCGGGACAATATCTTGCCTAACTTTATATCCTAAGCAGCATCAAGTGCAGAGCTTTTCATGCAATAGGAACTCTTTAAGTACTTCTTAATTTGTATCTAAAATTATGTTCATATACCTACTGAATCCTCAGTGTGGTTCAGGAGCCTGGTTGTTAAGCAAAACAGCCAATATTCCAGTTTTGGGCAAGAAAAATCTATATTCAGAACAAAGAGAGAGAGAGCATGTGGATTGAAGGCTCTCATGAAGGTTGTACCTAAGATGGGTCTTGAGATTCAGAAAGGCAAAGAGAGGAGAAAGAACATTTTCCCTTCCCACACTGTTCCGGGGAAGGCTCGAAGGCTTTACATAATGCATGTTTGGTATCAACATTGAGCCAAAATATGAAGTCCTGAAGAAAATTTTCCTAAGCCTCCGTTTTCTCATTTGTAAAGTGGGAATACTAGTAACTGTTGTGACAGCTGACCATTGCCATGTAAGCAAAAGAAAGTTTTTGGAAATATTTGATCGGGTAATGGCACTGGTTTATATTTCAGTGCATTTATGGCCATTTCCTGGCTATGTATCCTAGGGAAGTTTTTTGTTTTTTTTTTTTTAATGTCTCAGATCCTTAGTTTCCTTTTTGGTTTTTAAGATTAAACTAGGCAATATGCGTAAAGCATTTAGCATCAGAAATACTTATATATAAACACATAGAAAATGATGACGAGTAATTAATTTTATTAACATTATTATATATTTGGGGGAAACTGCAAGTAAAAATAGAACATAGATAAAACTAAAAGATGCAATAGGAACCTCCTAATCATTTTGATAGCTGTGGCATAGCTGTTTTCTCCAAGACAGCATAAGCACTTGTTGAAAATCTACTTATTTTCTAAGGACTTGTCAGAGCTGATTGATTGAATCCTTATAACAAGCTTGCATGCTGGATACTTATTTTTATTCCTATTTTTGGATAAGAAAACTGAGGCTTAAAAAAATTCAGTAACTTACATATCCACACACCAATTACAAGTGTGAGACAAGATTCAAGGCTGATGTGTTTAGCTGTAATATCTATGCTTTTCCTTAAGCAGCTCACAACCCTCCATGTGCTCAAGTTGGTAGAAATCAATCTGCAGTAGATGAGTTATGTTTCAACTAAATAGTCATGGACATTTAGTCTGTGAGAGACTTTGAGGATCCTTTGACTCAGGATTTGATTTTCTTTCTTTTCCCTGTTATTATTATTCTTTCATTATTCTTTCTACATTTTTTCTCTTATTTTCCACTTCTATCCAATGTTTCTTTCCTCATGACTTTTAATAAATAAAAATGAAAACGTATAGATAATGTGGCTTATGAATAAAAAGAAAGGCCCATATTGGAATATTTTTAACATCAAAGGAAGGTATTATAAAACATCAATTTAGAATAACTAGCCTCAACATGATTACAAATGATCATCACTTTCTACTCTTCTATGAAATTAGACCATGACTGCCTCTGTAGGAAAATCATGGCCCAAATCAGTCCATCAACCAGCTATTTAACGCACATGACAACAAACAAATGCTTTGACTATTATAAATAAAATTACCTGAGCTCTCTTGATAATGTAACATTTTAGACAGACTCTCTAATTCTCAGAGATTCTAAAGCACCAAGGAAAGTATAAATCCTGGAATTGAACAATCCTAGGCTGAAGCCCTGGTTCTGTCACTTGCTGTGTGTGTGATTTCCAGCAAGTTATTGAACCTAAGCCTTTATGCCCTCATCTTCACGTGCAGGCTTGTGCCCATAACTGCCATTCATTGTTATATTCAGCAACCCAGTGACTACCTCAAGCCACGTAAATACGGAGACAAAACAACTATACCTGTCCTCAGTGTGGGAAGAAGATAGTGAACAATTTCAAAAATACACATATGCATATAAACAATAAAAGGCAATAAATGACCTAAGTTTGGGGTGGCATAGAATTCGAGAACTTGAACCTTCCAGGTTTAGTATTCACTCAGTAAACTGAGGAACACAGAGATAATTTCACTTAAGATACAATTATATAACCTATGTATGTGTGTTCGTGTGTACATATATGTATGTACACATACAGGTGTATGTGTGTGTGTGTAAAATGAGGAAAGTAATTTGGATTTCAGTAACTCATTTGGCATCCTTAAAACACGAATTTCCTTACCTATAAAATTATGAAATAAAAATATATATGGGTAGTACTTAATGCTGGGTCTGGCATAGTATGCAACCCAATAAATATCAGCTATTATGAATTAGGTGTGACAAAATTATAAGTGTAATCTCCAAGATCACAGGAAGGAGCTCTTATACTCTCGCAGATGCTTAAAAAATCCAGTGTGTCCTCACTTCCAAGCTGTGGAAAAAATGACAAGGTGTTAGCAAGGGTATCAAAATAAGTGTTTGTGAAATCAAGCTGCTCTATGTGATTTATTTGGCTAATACCATACTTCTTGTTTCATATTCTTTGGCTAACTTGAAGATCTTTAGGCAGAATATACAAACTCTAGTTAGACACTGTGTCCATTATCGCCTATAACCTTACACTCTTGTTGCTTAAAACAATTATATTTCCTTTCTTCCTCATGAAGGTTGCATGATTACACATATTATGCCCTCGATATAGGTTGCTAGGTTATCTCCACGGGTCTGAATATGCAGAATTCCTTTCTCAGACCAGAAACTTAGGGTTGTATGAATCCCATTTTATCATATCTGGAAAAGACTACTTCAAATTTGCTTTGATTATTCAGTAGGCTTGCAAACAAACCTGAATTGTTCAACTACGATCCCAGTTCAAAGTGAAATAAATCCTTTAGCATGCCCTCCAAATACATCAGCTCTCTGAAACTCTCTGGACAAAAACGCACCTGTTCCTCTTCAGTAACACTCCCATATAAATTTCAAGAGGATCTTGATTTTGGAAATCAAGCCAGCCTATATGCACCAGGCCATTTTTCCCTCCCTCCTGTCCATTGCCATAAAACTAGGTAGAAGACCTATTCAATGGCATGTCCTCCATGATACTTTGCTTGGATCCATTTAGATTGCTAGTTAAATTAAGCTCCCTACAGATAAGAAAGATATTCCCTTTTTATAAATTTGTCAAGAAAACACTGCCTTATGGGATTTTAATGGGAATGCTGGAAATAACTCTGAGTGAGAAAATGTCATATTAGGAATGATGATATGAGGATATTTTACAGTTTCCTTGGATGACACACTAAAGACAGATCTGCATATGGTTTCCCTGCTGTCAAGAGTGCATGGCTGGGAATGCCCAGGGAAGCAGTCATCAGGTGCCTGTTAGCAGGCTCTGTGCTCCCTCTGGGTTCTGGTCTCAGCTGATAGGAGTCCCTAAGGAACACCATGCTGCACATAGGTTGCAATTCAGCTTTGAAAATTACTTGCTCCTGGAGTATATGAGATATGTGTGTTGATAAAGGCACCAGTAAGTACAGCTGCAAACATAAATAAATGGATTTGATGTTGAATTTCATGTTTGAATAATGTTTAAAATGCCCACAGTGTCGTTTTCTGATGTCTGGATTTCTGATGTCACCAAAACAGACATTAATCTAGGAATGAACATACAGGATCAAAAGATTATAGGTCTGATGACTGAACTAGCTAAAAAACAGAGTATCTTGAACGTACATTCCATTAGATCAGTGGTGAAGAAATGGATTGTTAAGAAAGCCAAAAAGATATAGGTTCAAAAACAAACAGTTCAGTGGTCACATGAAAACAAAACCCATAACATAAAAGTCAGAAAGGAACAAGATTAAATTTGAGTTTGAAATTAGGCTGGAAATATGTAACCAGAAGAACAGCTCTGTGGTATGAAAAAAAAAGTCCTTGGCTATAATCTTATTTATTCTGAAGTTATAAATACATTATTTTCTCTACCTCAGTTTTATCATCTGTGAAATTGGAATAATGGCACCTGGGGGAAAATGCTGAGGATTAGCTACTTAAGTTTTACTGCATTGTTTATTATAATAAGTTCTTCAGAGACTGGAATAAGTGTGTGGTGAATACAGAATAAGGTGAATATATAAATATAAATAAAACTTTTGCATATATAGCATATGTATGCATGGAAAATAAATTACATGAAACAGAGCTATAAAAGATTTTTTTAAGTACAGGAAAAAAAGAATGCTGGCAAGTTTAAAACGGGTCATTCTTAATGGGTAAAAATATTCCACATATCATATTGCCCATCACCAAACATCTGATTTATACCAGCCAGATGCATTTTGAGTAAGACTTTAATGTGTTTTTATATTTTTAAACATCAAGAAGATGATAGTCTGAAAAAGGAAGCATTTGCAGTTGCCTGAGCTTTAGAATTCTTTCCCAAAGAAGCATCTGGGTTTGCCTAGAGTTTGAAAAATATGTTGTCTTCCTTTCAACGGTTATTTTCTAATATGTCTCATGACCGTGTAATGTTATGTTGCCTGGAGTAGATGTCCCTGAGAATCCAAAGAGTCAAACTGCCTATCTTAATTTCTTCCGTGCCAATTCCCATGTATACTTAGTGATATTATACACTGTTAGCTGGGAAATTCGACCCCGTCTGGGAGGAAAATTTGGAGGAAAAGAAATATCAGCCATCTTATAAACCAGAGGGTATGCTCAAATTTTATTAGTGTCCATAAGGCTTATGTAGTGTACTAGTACCTGTCCTGAACACTTTATTTTACACCTGGTACAATACCTGATGGGTCATTAAGCAGTGGGCCAACTTGGTACTCTCAACCATTGGGTCCTTGGGTGTCTAAGATATTGGTTGAAAAGTTTTTATTCAAGGGCCACCAAGAGAATACAAGAATAATGTGTTCCAAATAGCTCCAATCAATTTTATTTTTAAAAGTTCATAGTTGCTTTCTGGATGTTGTAAGTCAAAATAAAAACTGTTGAAATGGGGTATTTTAGGCACATTTGTTTGGAATCATGCTCTGAAAATTTGCAGATGCATGCCTATGAGCAAAACTGTGGGAACCTAGAAGGTTTACTGGGGTAGGAGGGGAAAAAAAACAAGTTCATTCAACTCTGGCAACAGGTTTCTAGAATTATAGAGTTTTAGATCAATGCTTTATCAAATGAACATTTTTATAAATTGACTGGATTAATTTTGTGACTATTATAAAGCCATAGTAAGCCAAATTGCAGAATTAACAATTGATACACATGACTGAAAATATGTTAAAATAATTATTTGGTGAACTTCTATGCACAAGTTGTTACTGTTTTTTTTTTCTTCTAAAATTCCTGAATAGTTTTTTTCTTGTTTTGTCAGAACCAATTGCTATCTATTGAGTCTTGACACTTCTTGAGTCTTTCATTTCAATTTGGACAGTTTAATCCATTCTTTGGAGCTTCTTTTTTCTTCTTTGGAGAAGACAAAATACTTCTGTTTTCTATTCTGGAGCCATTCCCTAAATGATCCAGGATTTTCACTTCGATGGACTTAAGTTAGCTTCTCAAAACATTGGATTACTGCTGTTAAGTGTGAAATTAACTAGTTAATAAAACTAAGTTCAGAAGTTTCAATGGACTGAATCAAGGTTATCCCTATAATGGTGCTACATTAACTCATTTGGTTCTAATACACTTTCTTTAGGGGGAAAGACAGAGAAAAAGCATATTTCATCTACTTATAATGAAGACCATCCATAAGCCTGGTTACTTTTACAGGAGGATGTTTTGTAAGCCTGTGGGGTAACAAAGCAAAACAAAACAAACAAAACATGGATTTCCAGCCCCTGTCAAATGTCAACTCTCATTCACAGAATACTGTGTTAGGTATGGGCTTCGCTCTGCTGTTTACCTGAGCAGCAGGCATTAGTGTGAGTTGTCCCCAGAAGGCATGACACCAAATTGGTTCAGAGAGAGATTTGTAAGGGTTAGTTAAAAAAAAATGGGTTTATAATTATAAAGCCAGGTGCTACTCTTGTTTCTTATTCTTCTTCAACTATTTCTGAAACAATTAATAAGGAAAAAGAGCAACACTGGAAAAACTCATCCAAAATTACCACTAAGGCATACAACCAATAGGTTAATAAATAAGTGTGCAGTAACTATAAATGGGGTGTCTGCTTATGACTCCATGATAAAGAGAAGAAAAAATGACAATGCATACAAATACACTTTATAACATGCATCATGGTTGCAAACATTACAATATGCATTGCCTCTGGTGCTACCATTGGCGAAGAAGAACTAATGACCTTGTCAGTAGAACCACTCAGGCTATAATATAAGACTCACCTTATGCCATCTTGAAAATCTTACAAGGTCCTCGAAAGTCAGGGCCCATGTTCTACCTTGATATTCCCCACAGCACCCAGAAAAAAATATTTTGACTGGAACAAAATCCCCGATAAAATATTTTGGATTAACAACAAAATTATGTGTGGCAATGAATACATACACTAGCCTACTGATTCAAACAAGGGCAAGGTAAGGAAGAAAGGCTAAGATAAAGCCCATACAATGACATTATAGCAAAAAATGTTAAGATCTCTGTTAGGAGAAATAGGACAAGGAAAAGAGATTTCTAGTATGGAGCAGAGAGATTAAAATGCTGAAATTTGACAGAAAGAAAACAGAACAATTTAAATTTGATTTTTCATAGCTTCTCTGTTAAAGGGCATAAATGTTCTTGAGAATGAAAAGAGTAGAATAAACATCTGTCAGAAAGATATGCAGCTCAATATAGGTGAAAAAATTGGGGAAAAACTCGCTTTAAATGCTGTTCAGTCTTCCTGCTGAGACAAATTACAACTTTGGGGTACTGATAAAATTTACTATTAAAGAAAATGAATTACTGAGAATGTTTTTAAAGAAATAATGGAGAAGTATAAGTGGGATGAAGATCAAAGATAAGCAAATACCTGATTTTCAGAAGAGAACATGTTAATTATATGCACTAAATAATTTTGAGGGGGGTGGAGCCAAAATGGCCAAATAGGAACAGCTCCAGTCTACAGCTCCCAGTGTGAGCAACACAGAAGATGGGTGATTTCTGCATTTCCAACTGAGGTACCAGGTGCATCTCACTGGGGAGTGTCGGAGAGTGGGTGCAGGACAGTGGGTGCAGTGCACCAAGCATGAGCCAAAGCACGGCAAGGCATCACCTCACCCGGGAAGCACAAGGGGTCAGGGAATTCCCTTTCCTAGTCAAAGAAAGGGGTGACACATGGCACCTGGAAAATCGGGTCACTCCCACCCTAATACTGTGCTTTTCCAACAGTCTTAGCAAACGGCACACCAGGAGATTATATCCTGCACCTGGCTTGGAGGGTCCTATGCCCACGGAGCCTCAATTATTGCTAGCACAGCAGTCTGAGATCAAACTGCAAGGTGGCAGCAAGGCTGGGGGAGGGCAGCCCACCATTGCCGAGGCTTGAGTAGGTAAACAAAGTGGCCTGGAAGCTCAAACTGGGTGGAGCCCACCACAGCTCAAGGAGGTCTGCCTGCCTCTGTAGACCCCACCTCTGGGGGGCAGGGCATAGCCAAACAAAAGGCAGCAGAAAACTCTGCAGACTTAAATGTCCCAGTCTGACAGCTTTGAAGAGAGTAGTGGTTCTCCCAGCATGCAGCTGGAGATCTGAGAATGGACAGACTGCCTCCTCAAGTGGGTCCCTGACCCCGAGTAGCCTAACTGGGAGGCACCCCCCAGTAGGGGCAGACTCACACCTCACACGGCCGGGTACTCCTCTGAGACAAAACTTCCAGAGGAATGATCAGACAGCAACATTTGCTGTTCACCAATATCTGCTGTTCTGCAGCCTCCACTGTTGATACCCAGGCAAACAGGGTCTGGAGTGGACCTCCAGCAAACTCCAACAGACCTGCAGCCAAGGGTCCTGACTGTTAGAAGGAAAACTAACAAACAGAAAGGACATCCACACCAAAACCCCATCTGTATATCACCATCATCAAAGACCAAAGGTAGATAAAACCACAAAGATGGTGAAAAAACAGAGCAGAAAAACTGGAAATTCTGAAAATCAGAGTGCCTCTCCTCCTGCAAAGGAACACAGCTCCTCACCAGCAACAAAACAAAGCTGGACAGAGAATGACTTTGATGAGTGGAGAGAAGAAGGCTTCAGATGATCAAACTACTCTGAGCTAAAGGAGGAAGTTCGAACCCATGGCAAAGAAGTTAAAAACCTTGAAAAAAAATTAGACAAATGGCTAACTAGAATAACCAATGCAGAGAAGTGCTTAAAGGACCTGATGGAGCTGAAAACCATGGCACGAGAACTACATGACGAATCCACAAGCCTCAGCAGCCGATTCAATCAACTGGAATAAAGGGTATCCGTGATGGAAGATCAAATGAATGAAATGAAGTGAGAAGAGAATTTTAGAGAAAAAAGAATAAAAAGAAATGAACAAAGCCTCCAAGAAATATGGGACTATGTGAAAAGACCAAATCTATGTCTGACTGGTGTACCTGGCAGTGATGGGGAAAATGGAACCAAGTTGGAAAACACTCTGCAGGATATTATACAGGAGAACTTCCCCAATCTAGCAAGGCAGGCCAACATTCACATTCAGGAAATACAGAGAATGCCACAAAGATACTCCTCAAGAAGAGCAACTCCAAGACACATAATTGTCAGATTCACCAAAGTAGAAATGAAGGAAAAAATGTTAAGGGCAGCCAGAGAGAAAGGTCGGGTTACCCTCAAAGAGAAGCCCATCAGATTAACAGCTGATCTCTCAGCAGAAACTCTACAAGCCGGAAAAGAGTGGGGTCCAATATTCAACATTCTTAAAGAAAAGAATTTTCAACCCAGAATTTCATATCCAGCCAAACTAAGCTTCATAAGTGAAGAAGAAATAAAATACTTTACAGACAAGCAAATGCTGAGAGATTTTGTCACCACCAGACCTGCCCTAAAAGAGCTCCTGAAGGAAGCACTAAACATGGAAAGGAAAAACTGGTACCAGCCACTGTAAAAACATGCCAAATTGTAAAGACCATCGAGGCTAGGAAGAAACTGCATCAACTAACGAGCAAAATCACCAGCTAACATCATAATGACAGGATCAAATTCACACATAACAATAGTAACCTTAAATGTAAATGGGCTAAATGCTCCAGTTAAAAGACACAGACTGGCAAATTGGATAAAGAGTCAGGACCCATCAGTGTGCTGTATTCAGGAAACCCATCTCACGTGCAGAGACACACATACGCTCAAAATAAAGGGATGGAGGAAGATCTACCAAGCAAATGGAAAACAAAAAAAGGCAGGGGTTGCAATCCTAGTCTCTGATAAAACAGACTTTAAACCAACAAAGATCAAACGAGACAAAGAAGGCCATTACGTAATGGTAAAGGGATCAATTCAACAAGAAGAGCTAACGATCTTAAATATATATGCACCCAATACAGGAGCACCAAGATTCATAGATTCATAAAGGAAGTCCTTAGTGACCTACAAAGAGACTTAGACTCCCATACAATGATAATGAGAGACTTTAACACCCTACTGTCAACATTAGACAGATCAATGAGACAGAAAGTTAACAAGGATATCCAGGAATTGAATTCAGCTCTGCACAAAGAAGACCTAATAGACATCTACAGAACTCTCCACCTCAAATCAACAGAATATACATTCTTTTCAGCACCACACCACACCTATTCCAAAGTTGACCACATAGTTGGACGTAAAGCACTCCTTAGCAAATGTAAAAGAACAGAAACTATAACAAACTGTCTCTCAGACCACAGTGCAATCAAACTAGAACTCAGGATTAAGAAACTCACTCAAAACTGCTCAACTACATGGAAACTGAACAACCTGCTCCTGAATGACTACTGGGTACATAAGGAAATGAAGGCAGAAATAAAGATGTTCTTTGAAACCAAAGAGAACAAAGACACAACATACCAGAATCTCTGGGACACATTCAAAGCAGTGTGTAGAGGGAAATTTATAGCACTAAATGTCCACAAGAGAAGGTAGGAAAGATCTAAAATTGACACCCTACCATCACAATTAAAAGAACTAGAAAAGCAAGAGCAAACACATTCAAAAGCTAGCAGAAGGCAAGAAATAACTAAGAGTGGAGCAGAACTGATGGAAATAGAGACACAAAAAACCCTTCAAAAAATCAATGAATCCAGGAGCTGGTTTTTTTTAAAAGATCAACAAAATTGATAGACTGTTAGCGAAACTAATAAAGAAGAAAAGAGAGAAGAATCAAACAGATGCAATAAAAAATGATAAAGGGGATATCACCACTGATCCCACAGAAATACAAACTACCATCAGAGAATACTACAAACACCTCTACGCAAATAAACTAGAAAATCTAGAAGAAATGGATAAATTCCTTGACACATACACCCTCCCAGGACTAAACCATGAAGAAGTTGAATCTCTGACTAGACCAATAACAGGCTCTGACATTGAGGCAATAATCAATAGCTTACCAACCAAAAAGAGTCCAGGACCGGATGTATTCACAGCCGAATTCTACCAGAGGTACAAGGAGGAACTGGTACCATTTCTTCTGAAGCTATTCCAATCAATAGAAAAAGAGGGAATCCTCCCTAACTCATATTATGAGGCCAGCATCATCCTGATACCAAAGCCTGGCAGAGACACAACAAAAAAAGAGAATTTTAGACCAATATCCCTGATGAATATTGATGCAAAAATCCTCAATAAAATACTGGCCCACTGAATCCAGCAGCACATCAAAAAGCTTATCCACCATGATCAAGTGGGCTTCATCCTTGGGATGCAAGGCTGGTTCAACATACGCAAATCAATAAATGTAATCCAGCATATAAAGAGAACCAACGACAAAAACCACATGATTATCTCAATAGATGCAGAAAAGGCCTGTGACAAAATTCAACAATGCTTCATGCTAAAAACTCTCAATAAATTAGGTATTAATGAGATGGATCTCAAAATAATAAGAGCTATCTATGACAAACCCACAGCCAATATCATACTGAATGGGCAAAAACTGGAAGCATTCCCTTTGAAAACTGGCACAAGACAGGGATGCCCTCTCTCACCACTCCTATTCAACATAGTGTTGGAAGTCCTGGCCAGGGCAATCAGGCAGGAGAAGGAAATAAAGGGTATTCAATTAGGAAAAGAGGAAGTCATATTGTCCCTGTTTGCAGATGACATGATTGTATATTCTAGAAAACCCCATTGTCTCAGCCCAAAATCTCCTTAAGCTGATAGGCAACTTCAGCAAAGTCTCAGGATACAAAATCAATGTGCAAAAATCACAAGCATTCTTATACACCAATAACAGACAAACAGAGAGCCAAATCATGAGTGAACTCCCATTCACAATTGCTTCAAAGAGAATAAAATACCTAGGAATCCAACTTACAAGGGATGTGAAGGACCTCTTCAAGGAGAACTACAAAACACTGCTCAATGAAATAAAAGAGGATACAAACAAATGGAAGAACATTCCATGCTCATGGATAGGAAGAATCAATATCGTGAAAATGGCCATACTGCCCAAGGTAATTTATAGATTCAATGCCATCCCCATCAAGCTACCAATGACTTTCTTCACAGAATTGGAGAAAACTACTTTAAAGTTCATATGGAACCAAAAAAGAGCCCGCATTGCCAAGTCAATCCTAAGCCAAAAGAACAAAGCTGGAGGCATCATGCTACCTGACTTCAAACTATACTACAAGGCTACAGTAACCAAAACAGCATGGTACTTGTACCAAAACAGAGACATAGACCAATGGAACAGAACAGAGCCCTCAGAAAAAATGCAGCATACCTACAACTATCTGATCTTTGACAAACCTGGCAAAAACAAGAAATGGGGAAAGGATTCCCTATTTAATAAATGGTGCTGGGAAAACTGGCTAGCCATATGTAGAAAGCTGAAACTGGATCCCTTCCTTACATCTTATACAAAAATTAATTCAAGATGCATTAAAGACTTACATGTTAGACCTAAAATTATAAAAACCCTAGAAGAAAACCTAGGCAATAGCATTCAGGACATAGGCATGGGCAAGGACTTCATGTCTAAAACATCAAAAGCAATGGCAACAAAAACAAAAATTGACAAATGGGATCTAATTAAACTAAAGAGCTTCTGCACAGCAAAAGAAACTACCATCAGAGTGAACAGGCAACCTACAGAATGGGAGAAAATTTTTGCAATCTACTCATCTGACAAAGGGCTAATATCCAGAATCTACAATGAACTCAAACAAATTTACAAGAAAAAAACAAACAACCCCATCAAAAAGTGGGCAAAGGATATGAACAGACACTTCTCAAAAGAAGACATTTATGCAGGCAAAAGACACATGAAAAAATGCTCATCATCACTGGCCATCAGAGAAATGCAAATCAAAACCACAATGAGATACCATCTCACATCATTTAGAATGGCGATCATTAAAAAGTCAGGAAACAACAGGCGCTGGAGAGGATGTGGAGAAATAGGAACACTTTTACACTGTTGGTGGGACTGTAAACTAGTTCAACCATTGTGGAAGTCAGTGTGGCAATTCCTCAGGGATCTAGAACTAGAAATACCATTTGACCCAGCCATCCCATTACTGGGTATATACCCAAAGGATTATAAATCATGCTGCTATAAAGACACATGCACACGTATGTTTATTGCGGCACTATTCACAATAGCAAAGACTTGGAACCAAGCCAAATGTCCAACTGATAGACTGGATTAAGAAAATATGGCACATAGACACCATGGAATACTATGCAGCCCTAAAAAATGATGAGTTCATGTCCTTTGTAGGGACATGGATGAAGCTGGAAACTATCATTCTCAGCAAACTATCGCAAGGACAAAAAACCAAACACCACATGTTCTCACTCATAGGTGGGAATTGAACAATGAGAACACTTGGACACAGGAAGGGGAACATCACACACTGGGGCCTGTTGTGGGGTGGGGGGAGCAGGGAGGGATAGCATTAGGAGATATACCTAATGTTAAATGACGAGTTAATGGGTGCAGCACACCAACATGGCACATGTATACATATGTAACAAACCTGCACATTGTGCACATGTACTCTAAAACTTAAAGTATAATAAAAAAAATAAATAACATAAAAGAATAAAAAAATAATTTTGATATTGATTCTTAGAAAATAATGCAATGGCCATTAAGAGATACAACGAATCACTGCAAATAATTCAGAATTTTCGCAGCTCCTTTTTCTCCATATAATTATTAATATTTTAAATTCATGAGAAATATAGCAGGTATTTATTTATCTAGATTTTAGTAAGATACTTCCTACCATCCTCACCACCACCTTCTTGTTAAAAATCAACATATATGGACTGGATTGTAATAGTAGCTAGATTTGTAACTGACTGATCAATGGCAACCACAGCATGCAAATGACGGGCAAATCAGTATTAACTAAGCATGATTTAGAAGCTCCGAATTGAGTTCTGTTCTTCAACTTAACCTGTTCAACATTTTACAAAACAATTCAGGCCAGGTGCAGTGGCTCTTTCCTATAATCCAAGTGCTATGGGAGGCTGAGTTGGGAGGATTGCTTGAGCCCAGGAATTCAAGGCTGCAGTGAGCTATGATTGTGTCACTGCACTCTAGCCCAGGCAATGGTATAAGAGCCTTTCTCTAAAAAAAAAAAAAAAAAAAGTAAAACACAATTCAACTAAGTGAATGTCACATTTGTACATAACATGAATTTGGGGGCAGGAATAATGAATCGGCTGAGTAATAGAATAGGGTTTTAAAATAACCCAAAATGTTAGAAGAATGATACAAATCTAAACCAATGAAATATATTTAGATAGATGTTAGGATTTATTGGCAAATAAAAACAAAACTACACATACAACTATGAGGTGAGAGAGTATAGCAATACTAGCTGTGCCTATGGGGGAAACCTATGGAGTAGATTTCTAATTTGATGATGTGAGTTGCCAAAAAAATCTGATGCAAACTTAAGCAGCAATAAACATCTAGGAATTATCCAGAAAGTGGCAGAACATAATTCTACTTTATTCCACATCATTTACAGAATTTCTAGAGAATTATGCATACTACTGAGTTGTTGCAGAGATATAAATAAAGTGAATTACATTCTGAAGAGAAAACTTCAAACCCATCACTTGAGACACTGTGGAAGAATTGAGGCAATATGGCCTGTAGAGCAGGTGAATATTGGTATTAGCACACATTGCAAAGCAGAATAAATTTAGAAAACAATCCTTTTGGTACTGAGAAATAGTTTTCTCCTTTTAAGTTTTATTTTGTGCTTTAAAAGTAATTTTATTCCAATTATTTAAGTGAAATAGGTCCACTGTAGACAACTGAGAAAATATGTCACAATATGCAAAAAAATTTTGTTATTATTGTTAGTATTTGGTCTATTTCATTGCAGTTTCTGCACATATATTTCTAATCATACTGTATATAATTTTGTACACTATCACTTAGCATTATATCATTAATGCTTCATTTTAAAAACCAATATTTACTTTCTCACTCAAGTCTGAAGATTTTGTGAACATGTGCAGAAAGACTTTGAGTTTTTAAGTTCACTTTCAAAACTAAGTACAATGTAGAAGACTCTCAGGTACTGTCCTAGACGTTGGGGACACAGCAAAGAACAAAAGACACAAAGAATTTTTGTTGGGTTTATATTTCAGGGTGTGATTGTTGAGAAGAGGTATAAAATGGACATGTAAGCAAATAAATGAAAACAATAATTTCTTATATGGTATACATAAGGAAATTTGATTTGACAAATGTACCCCTAAAAATGTATGACATTTGAACTGAGACTCGAATGACAAGGAGGAGGAAGCAATGTAAAAATCTCACAGTGGACAGTTTCAGGCAGAAGAAACAGCAAATATGAGAATCTATACAGGTGAGAATAAAAGAGTCACATGGCTTGAGTTTGTAAGATTGGAGGAGGGCGGTACAAGATGAGGTCACGTGGATAGTCATGGTGAGGTCACGACAAGGATTTTTATTGTATTCTGCATGCAACGGGAATCTTTTAGATGACTTTGTAGCAGGGGAATGACTTTACCTGGTTTACTTTTTAAAAATATCATTCTGGCTACCACAGGTAGGATGAATTATGGTGGGAACAAAGATAGCATTATGAGAAAAAATACTTTGGTATTATAGTCAATAGAGACACCAGATAGATGTTATAGTTAAGTTCTAGTTCCATTTGCTAAACATGAAAGAGTGAGTTAACCTCTCTGAGCTTTGATTTCCTCCTGTGTGAAATACGAAGTATAATATCTACCTTTTGTAAAATCCACCTTTGCAGATGTCTTATTTGCTACTTTGTTATATGAGTTGAAAATCTCAAATGACTAAATAAACATATGTTATCTTTTTTGGCATATAAAATAAGAAGCTAAAAAAGAAGATTTAAATGTGACTCTAAAATCCTTCTGGGTAATCACGGGGTAATTTAAACTCAGTCACATGATCTGTGGTTGAGCTATTTTGCATTCCATTCTCATACCTTTTAAGATCCTCAGTGAAAATAAATAAAGTGATGGTAATTTTTAAGAATGATGACTAAATATGGAACATAGTTGGGGAGAAGAGGACAAGTCTATTTTAGGGGATTAGACTTCCGAATAATTTAAAAAATTCCTTCAGTAAGCACAAATCACATAAATAAATTATATAGGTTAAATTCCTAAAAGTGAGCTCTAAGTAACTATCTTAACTATTTAATTAACACTAAATAGTGCTGTTTAAAGTTGGCCACTTAACGTTTTGTTGTATTATGATTGGTAATTGTTGCCACTGGAATTCTACCCCAGTCTCAGTTCTAAAGCCTTTCTTGGGTAAGCCTGAGGAAAGACACCTGGAAATACATATTTGACCATTAGGTAGTGATCTAATTCCCAGGTGGCCTGGCTTGTTCTTTGGAACTTTTCTTTTAGGGTCCATGCAACATCACTTTACCCATACTTTAGTGATTTTGTTGGTTGGGCACATCTTGCCAGGTGAACAGTGTGACTTCTTTCTCCTGACTACTTCAAATACTTTTTTGGACAAGCAGGGAACAAATAAACAAACAAATCAATTTTCTACTCTCAGAAAGCCTGTTCCAAGGGTAGATTTAAGAGGCTCAACTGAAAACACCTTGCCTATTAGCCAGCGATCTTAGAGATGACCAAAAGTTTCTAAATAGCTTTGGAGGTCATTAAGAACATTATAGTAATAGGATTGAAGCTTTTAGGTCAGACTATCTATAAAAATGAGGGAAGGATCATCTGTCTTTTAGTCTTTACTACTGTAATCCTGAGAAGTTTCATTCCAACACAAGGGTACTGCAATTTTCCACCAAAAGGCCTGATTATATGTGCTCTAGACTTCTTTCATATTTGTCTCCACATTCATATTGCAGAGTCAAAAATGCCAGTGTACCTGTGTATGTCTCTGTGTATAAACATGGGCATATTTAACTTATCATACCTCAATTTAGGGATACTTGACTCTATTTTTAAAAGTAGGAAATTGTAATTATTTAAACATGACAACACCCAGAAATTGTACTTCTTTTGTGCTCTTGGCTTAAGAACTAATAATGAAGCCAGAAATCTGTTAGGACAATTAGAAACTAGCCTGCTGTAATCTAAGCTGTAAACTGGCTAGAACGTGGCTGTGTTACATTCTCATCTCTGAAAATTGATAAAAAGATGTGTACAATAAACCTGTCCTCAGACATTTAAAAGAACTTGCTAGCACACACATTTTAAAGGAGATATATATATGTGTGTGTGTGTGTGTGTGTGTGTGTATACGTATATATATACACACACATATATATATACACACACATGTATATATATATATACACACACACATGTATATATATATATATATATATACACACACATGTGTATATATATATATATATTCTTTAGGTAAAAAGGAAAAATTAAAATCTGTTCACTGAGAAACAGATTAGAGGCCATAAAAGAATTTGGCACACGATTATGAGATTTAAGTGAAAATGACATGCAGTGATATTCCAATGTATCATGGCACCAGAGAATACCCACAGCCTTCTCCACACAAAAAGAAGCTTTGCATGCTGTCTTCTAAATGCTGAAGCCAAGAGTGACATGGCCTTTCTGGGAGCTGAGGTTCAGCCTTGGAGTTTGCCTTGGCTCAGATCCCAGGAATTGGGCTACTGAGAGCTAAGGGCAAGATTCTGGGCCTAAGAAGCCACAGGAATGGACCAAGCCTCTCTCAGAGGCAGCAAGGCTACACAACCTGAAGGACTTAGGGGGAGGTTTTATTGTCCCCAGTGGAATTAGCATCACAGAAGGAAATGCATTAAGTACATGCTGTTAAAGAGCAGCTGTGTGATGTGCTTGACAGAGCATAAGATCCAGAGGCAGAAATGTAGGTTTAAGCCTCGACTCTGTTACAAAGAATCCTAGCCAAATCACACATTGCCATTGGATATACAGCTTCCTTATCTGTGTAATGGGAATAATAATAGTTAACTCATTTCAAGTGCTTAATACATTCCAGGCACCTGTACTGTGAGGGTCATGGACATGCCCCACTCCACAACGGTCTCCCTTCAAGAGCATCTGCTGCCAAGAGGCCATGTGGGATGAGAGCCTCCAGCGGCTACCCTTTGGGATCCACGGGGAGCTTGCACTAGGGCCATGCTTCCTCCAGGCTGTTCTCAGACAATGACTCAGTAGGGTATTAGAACTGACCTATTTCTTCCCATTGCAGACACCTAGCAGGCAACTTTTTATTTGGATTGAGTCTTTTTCAGAATCCCACTCTGAAGCTCTTCCAAACCAATCCTTTATCTGTGTGGTCCTTTGCTCACATATGTCAGACCTACATTGCAATCTGAAGCCTCCTTTCACCTTCTCTGCTGTCTTCTCCTCAATTCTTCACATGTATTTTTTTCCCAGTAAATCTCTACAACGATTTATTCCATTTAGGTCTCTGCTTCTTGAACAACCCAAACTGAAACACATAGTAAGGGATTGATATAATCTCATTTCCTTTTCAAAACAAGCCCCTGAAATTCATATTATGATCTCTACTTTACAAACATGGAAAGGAAGAGAGAGAAATTAAAAAATAAAACAGTTCTTACTTCACAAAGTTGTTGCGAAAATCTAATGAGATAGTATATGTGGAAGGGCTTTACAACTATTTTTTTTTCAGGGGTAGGGAAAAACACAGAGTACCCGTAGCATAGTTTTTTTCCCTTAGTTTTCTATCAGTTTTAGGCACTTACGGTAGAAAACTTTGCTTAGCTTCCAAAGGTGCCATGAGAAAGCAATACTATACTATACTCCCACCCTTTGTCTCACATCTTTGTCTATCATTTGGGGACAAAGTAGAGTGACATTTGCACATGTAAGTCAGGGGAATATGACATGCTTGACATGACATTCTGATCTGCAAAACCAGAGTTCTATTCGCCTAACCTCTCTAATCAATTTAATAATCAGCAATTTACTAGCCACTAAGGGAGACAAAGCTGCAGGAAATAAGAGATTTTTGCTTTTATTAATGTCCTTCCTAAGCATGCAAGCATATTAACAAAAGTCCTGGTATTCAAGTATGTAGTTCTCAGTGTGGAAGGTCAACATACTCCTTTATTTTCCCCCTGATAATTAAGCCTGACCTGAAACAAGGCTAATTTTCTGTTCTTTGGTGAAACAGAGGCTATCAGTTTTTTCATACACCAGTTTTCATACAGCGGAATAATTTCTTCCTTTTTGCAACTTCGGAACATCACTTTGATGCACCATTTTGCACTCTGGATACAACCTATGCTTCCTTGATCTCCATCTTGTTCTCGAGTACAGTTACAAATTTATTGAAACAACAGTTTCGACAATAAAACTAACCCCACTTCTAGAGACCAGCAAGCAGTGTCCACAGAGTATACAGGAAGTTGCGAGCCAGGCATCATTCTCAACCCCCTAGATGTTAAGAAAAAAATCATTCAGACAGTCTCTAGTATTGCTTTTACTGAGAGGTTGGAAGGAAGGGCCAGAAAAAACTATGAGAAAAGAGGACAACCATGGTGGGCCTGAGCAGAGAGTAGCACTGAGAACTACAGGGTAGAAGAAAGTGCCAGTAAACAGTGCCTGAAGGGAACCAGCAGTTGAATGCATTGTCTGCAGATTCTTCTTGAATGTGAATAGTCAGAGAAAGCAACAAGGATGGAACTGTTGCATTTGTGGAGTTCCCAATGGTGTTTCCAAGGAGATACACTGATTAGACCAATTGATGAGTTTAGAATCTTGGGGGAGTCAAAAAGCCCATCTCCTTAAGCTGACTGAATATTGGCCTCTAACAGATTCAGCAATGTCAGAGAATTCCAGGGAGCTTAGCAAGCTATCAGGGGAAAGTACCTCCTCCTCCCTGCTAATTCTGACAGCTCCTGCCTCTGACTGAGATGCATTCTTCTGAATAAAAGTGCCAGCTTGCCTCTCCCACAGGGGCTGCAGGCAGCAGGAAACTGAGACCCCTGTGTGGGTCTCACTGGCTTCTCCATTTGTTTTCATTTTGCCAACAGACACTTCTATTTAAACTTCTTGGAAGGATATCTCAATAACATTCCTTTGCTGAGGACCATAAGATAGAAGATGAGAATCCATCTGCCCTCTTCTCTGCACCCAGGCTTCAATCCTGTTTGATCATGCAGGGGCTACAAGGCCTTCGACACAAAGAACTTGTCTTAGATTCTAATCAGTTTAACAAATAGGACAGACAGCTGCTGAGCACTGTCTGAGTGACACTGGTAAGTATGCATTTAGCGATTAGCTTACATCCATTTATCAAAGTAAGGCTTGATAACAGACCAAAAATTATATGCACACTCCAAAAACTAAATCTCTGGCCCATCTTCCTTTTGATTCAAACCAGTCTTCTGCAAATCCAAATACGGCATACCCCCGTGAAACAGATCTTGTTTAATATTTACCAAATTTGTTTTAAATGAGGCGTTGCCATATTTCCTTGGCCCAATTCTTACAAGTTATTTTGTGATTATATGATCAGTTAGGTAAATATATTATTAGAAAGGAATGCCTTTTCTCTGCTCCCCATTTCCATATGGGAATATTTTCCCTAAGCACGCTCCTGGTTTCTATCCATCCCTTTACATATTTCCTCTGGGGAGTTGGTATAGCACACCTGATGGTTAAATTTGGGAAGAATAATGCTGTTGGCTCAGATTCACTCTTCCTTCTTATGGGAAGGGGCCTTCCCACTGAGACCACAGCCTCCTCAGCTTCTCCTTGCTACGAGTCCTGCAGGAACCTACCTTTGCAGGCTCTGGGGCAGCCTTCCCAGGGACAGAGCTGCCTTTCCCAGGAGTGGTAAGACTTCTAAGTCAAGGGTTCAGTATTAGCAAAGCCACATCCTAACAGACCTCAAAATGCAACAAATAAATTAGTCATTATCAGTACTAAGATGACATTTTGGCCTCCATTTTTCCTTCACTTTATTCTCAACTTGTTCAGAACCAGGCTCAGAAAAAGAGATCCTATTGACTGGGAGATTCTTGAAGACATAGATAATTATAGTATCAATAGTCTTACTATCATGTGACTAAAATGTCTTTTATATCCTTTAATAATAAATTCCCTTATGAGGAAAATTGTAACTCACAAACATGGAGACAGTGGGGTAGGTACAATAGGATAATGATCCCTGGGTCAATGCGTTTCAAAAACTGAAAATCAGGTGATACATAGGCATGTTTTTCAAAGAAGCAAATAGAAGAATAAGATACTTAAACCACACAACATTATTTTTTAGGAACTTTAGATGAACTTGTTGTTAGGCCCAGTAAATAAAGTCTCATCTTTCACATATAGTCACACACACATACACACACACACACACACACACACACACACAAACTTACTCATTAGCCAGATAAGATTGCTGAAAAATAGATAATGTATGTGAAAAAAAACTCTTTGTAAATTAAGGTGCTATAGAATATCAATGTATAAAGTATTATTACTATTGCTTTTATGGATACTCATATTCAGGAGAAACCAAGAAAAATTGGTGGAAGAAAGCTAAGAGAACGTAGCAAAATGTTGAATCAAGATTGCAAAGGACGTTTTTAGTATGTCTAAGATATTTATTCTTCGGTGACTAAACGTTTCACTTAAGTTTTCTGATAATAAAGGTATATAATATTATAATTTGGTATTTTGTATTTATGGTAACTTGTAGGGTTTTTAAATCACACTGCCATACATATGTTTGTTGTGCTATGCATATTTTGTTATGAGGAAACATGTTGATTTTTGGCGCATTTCACCACAGATGTGCCTATTAGCAGTGTTCCGATCTGTCTGTCAGTTTGTGAGAGTGCCATATGCAGATAGTGCCAATGACCCTCCCACATATGATACTCCTATGTTTATGAGACATAGATAAAATAAGCCTGGACCTTAACTCTCTATGCGAAAAGAGCTGGACAGACACACAACACCCTGTTCAGAGGAGAGAACCCTGCCCCCGCATGTGACACCCATAACCCATGTGGGTACTCAGATGCCATGACACTCACAAAAGGGGCACTTCTTTGTGTCATCCAGTTACTTCAGATAGACAAGACACAAACTGCAGTTGAAAATTATCTCAACCAAAGAGTCCCATAGCCTACACAAGGCTGAGTTCTCAGCAAGTACCTGCAGAAAGTATATACACCCTTAAAGCCAATTCTTCCAAGCTCTGGAAGCAGTCAGACTCCTGAGTGCTTACGGAATGGAAGCCACCTAAGTCTCTAATCAATAAAAAGTAGTTCTAGGGGTTTATTACTCCCCATAGAATACTCACTTCTTTAAATATGTCTACATTTCTCTATAATTTATACTGCCCTACTTTCAAAAAGGATTCTAGAGACCAATATGTCTATAGAACTGACTTATGCCCAGTTCCTGGTTCATTTTGTCCCCTATAAAATTTTCTCTAATTAAAAGCTTTTACTGAAATTGATAATATTGATCATTTGCTTTTGCATAAACAGACATTTCATATAATACTAATTTTATGTATTTTTGTCAGACTCTTGACTGTAATTCCATAATTGTTTATCTGGTTACATTTCTTGATGCATATGAAGGAGAATGATAATCCATTAATTAAGCACTGTATATAAAATAATTGTGTCTGGTAACCTCTCTACTTTAGAAATATAAACACATGTGTATGCATTTGTATGTGTGTGTGTGTGTGTATACATATACAGTTTTGTATTCTGAAAAGCTTAAATGTTCTAAAAAATCAAGATTTATAGAAATAGAAAATTCTGTCCCCCAAGTGAATTTAATGGCTGAATTTTTATTTATTTTTACTTTAGATTTACATACAAATGAACCACCAATGTCCCCTTCTATCAACTCAGAATAAAATCTGGTTTTAGCATATGCAGTCCTACGAGACATGGTTAAAGGATATGAATGATAGATAGAGATAAAAGAAATCAAGGACCATTCCTCCACAAGTCTCCAAAGAGGAAAACAACAATCGAAGAAAAAAGAGTGAGAGAACAGATGGGCTGGCAGAGTTTTGCTTTCTATGTGACATTGTGTACTTATTATTCGCATGAGGACTAATTTATAAACCCGGATAGTGTTTATAAACTATACTGTCCTAATGGAAATGAAAGCATTAATACAACTAGAAGATTCTTTACTTTCCAAGCTTTAATTAAAATCACAGGCGTTAAGAAGCAAAAGTGCCTTCATGGAATACAAGCCTAATGAAGGATTTCCTTGCCTAGCACAGAGCTCTGTGTGCAGTCCCAGCTTGCTGGCACCAGCCACTGGAAAAGCCGACCCCCGTGTAACCAAAAGAGCTCTCTCTGAAAATTAGAAAAGCAAATCATACCACACATTTTTTTTTTCAAATAAATATAGTTGCCAAGTCAGATCCAGGAAAAACAATAGCACGTCATAAGTAAAACACACACACACACACACAGACACAGACACAGACACACACACACACACACAGCCTTAGAACATGCTATGTTAATTAGCTACCTGGAAGACCAGAGGCAAATGTGTTTGTTCTATGCGCTGAACACTTAAAAGGGAGAGGGAAAGGTGTCAGCTTGGGAAAGAGGAATGTGGAAATATGGCAAAGACAATCTAAGAGGAGAGAGAGAAAGGAAACAAGAGGAAAGGATTCGACAGAGGAATTTCACAACAGCATAGAAGAATAGATCAGGAGTTTTGCTACCAAATAATGGAGAAAAAATACACAGAAGCCTAGGAAGTGACCTTGATTAAAACGCCCACCATGTGAATGCTACTCAGCCGACACACTCATTTTGCCTCTTAAAGGTATCACCTCATTTATGTGTAGGCAAATTAAGGTTGTAGTGGAATTAAACTGTCTTCCCTGTAAATCAGACAGCAAAAAGGAACAGGGAGCTACATATATATATTATATATATGTAGTTACCACCTGCTTTGTTTAGTGATGATGATAATGGTGATAATGATGATGCTTGTTAACGATAATGACATAAATGATGACAGTATATGCAATATATTAAGTACCAATGTTAGGTTAGGTAATATGCTAGGTGTTTTACAAGGATCATTTCTAATTCATAGAACAACTCTGGGAGATAGGTGTTATTTACCACTTAATAGTATATACATATACATTACCCCAAATTATACAACTATTGAGTGACAGCCTGTATTTGAAGGAGCGCTTTAAACGAACAGGATTTTTATTTTATTATTTATTTATTTATTTATTTTGAGACAGGGTCTCACTCTGTTGCCCAGGCTGAAGTGCAGTGGCACGACCTCAACTCACCGCAACCTCTGCCTCCCAGGCTCAGCGATTCTCCCACCTCAGCCTCCAGAGTAGCTAGGACTACAAGTGTGCACCACAACGCCCAGCTAATTTTTGTATCATTTGATAGAGATGGGATTTTACCATGTTGGCCAGGCTGGTCTTGAACTCTGACCTCAAGTGATCCACCCGCCTTTGCCTCCCAAAGTGCTGGGATCGCAGGCGTGAGCTACCACACCCCACCAAGAACAGGATTTTTAAAAACAGCATTCTGGTTGTCCCCAAAGACTAAGATACACACACGTATAATATATCTATTCTTATCCATATTCATAAAAGTATGTATGAAGGGAATGGATGTGAGAAGGAGCTAACATTCACTGAATGTTGTCTTTCTTTCCAGGCACCTGCTGGGTTCATATTTTATTTTATCTCAATTCTCAAAATGTCTTATATGAATTTATCCTTCTTTTTTGTCATATAGTGGAAACTGATGCCCTTATTTTTAAGTTTTGCCTAAATTCACTAGTAAATGGCAGAAGCTGTATTTGAATCTAAGTTGGTCTGACTCTGAATAGTACTGACCAAAAATAAGTGTAATTCAGACCACACATGAGTCACATATATGATTTTAAAGTTTCCAGTGGTCCCGGTATACAGACATGCACAGCTCAACTGCAGTCAACTGTCACCTTCTCTTGGTTCCTGGGTTAATCCAGAATCAAGGATTTTATTTTCCTGTGCCTCTTGGTATGATACCTCTTGACAACCCCATGATGGCTCCAAGTAAGTAGGTAAAGTTGAGTAAGGAATGAGTTCTTGGCGCCCATCAATACTGCACTTTCTAAAGATGCACACGACAGCTCCCAATTCTAGCACAGTTTCAGGCAGGGTAACCAAACCCATAGGGACAGATGTCCTCTTTACTGGCCTCAATCTGTGAAAGGCATTTTTCTGCTAGCTTATTTTGCCCCTCCAATCGGAGAAATAAAATTCCTATGAGAAACCAAGTATACACCTATATATGCCAATTACACTGATTTTAAAATATATCATTTCAGAGTAGAAGGGTGAAAAAAATTATGGTGTGTAGATTAGGAGTTAGTGCCACAGAGATGTGTAACAATGGCTGGTATGATGATGCAGCTTAAAAACACAAGCATTTCTCACTTCAACACTGTTACTGTATTCCTAGAAGTATTCATTCTAAACACCATATGGACATCCTTTTAGAAAATAAACATTGGCCCTTGATTTGCTTGCAAATGTAAGGGGTTTTATATTGGGCTTCCTTAAAGCAGGTGCATTCACTAAGAAATATGTGGGCAGAGGTTAGAATTACCCCCTATTTCCTAATGACGGTAGGCAAGAAGAGTGTGCATTAATTTAATTACTTGTCCATTAATCTAGCATGGTTGTTGAAAGGATTAACATAGCCAGACATCTTTAAAGATAACCACAGAAAGACATTGATTCAGATGAGTGGCCAGAATAGAAGTTTTACTCAAATACAGCCACAGTGTGCTCCATGCAAGCCACTATGCATACAAATAAATGTTACTTCCCTTCAAGGGTTTTCCATTTAAAAATGGATACACTGATTATAAAACTGTGAAAATGCACAAAGCAATAGTAAATAATAATTATATACACTTTTCATTCTCATGTTCTTTGCTTATATGTTCTCAAATTTTCTAGTCAATCTTACTCTAAATGTATTGACAGACCATAACTTTAGTGAACCATTCTTCTTTAATCCCCACCCAGCATATGCTTTGTGAGTCTAATTGGCTATAAATAACAGAACTGAATTTTTAACAAAGCACATATCTGCCTAACCAAATCATACTCCTTTATAATATGCTCATGTTATATCATTATACAAGTAATTAGACAATTTTACATTTCTCTTTTGATATTGACTTAAATAATTTAGTAGACATTCTTTGGAAATTTTAGTGATTTTTAAAAATCATATTTTTAAAGTAAATAAAGTATCATGTCTTTATTTAACCCCTATGATATATTAGTTATTATGCTAAGTGCTAAATAGGTATTGATCATAATTTAACATTTTAGTATTTATAAAAACCTGGATATCACTATTCCCATTTTGCCGCTGAGAAAACTGGGAATCCGAGATATTAACCAAGGGACACAAGAATAAACAACTGGTAAATGGTTGACCAGGCTATAAACCCCAGAACTCTCCAACTTTCATATACAGAATGTTCTTACAATGAGAAAAATGTGATTTTGAATCAAGTCTTGAATAAACTGAGAGTGATCAAGTTGGGTAACACTATTTGGATAGAAAAATAAAGGATGCTTTTAAAATAATAAGTTTTCTTTGTGATTCTTAAAATAATTCTATTCCCCCAAAAAAGAATTTTCATAATATGAGTAATAATAATATTATTAGAATAATAACATAAGAATCTATACTAATCAGTTCTATGTATATATTCTAGTTTATTCATTTAAGCTGTATTCTTACTATTTTATCATCTTATCTTCTAATTACTTGAGCTGAGAGGAGGTTGAGGGTTAAATCTGAAGTTCCTGAAGAAGCACCCAAAAGACATGAGTTGTTGAATGTCTTCCAAAGGGATAGCTGAGCATTACTATGGGCACATCATGCTTGAGGACCCCAAGGGAATAGTAGACAATCAAGGCATCATTGTATAGCAGAAAAGTCAGTAGGTAAAACAGGAAAAGAAGAGACCATTTGCAGTCTCTTTAGTTCATGTCCAGGATTCACTTTCTATATGTACAAGATAGATTAGTGATGCCCAATTCACATCGATCCTGCAAGGATCAAAAGAAAATAAATGGAAATCCTATTAGTCATTGTCTGACTAATAGAAACACAGAGTGTTAGTACCTCTCCTTCCTCCTCACTGAAGCTCATCCATGTCTTGTTCAGTAGGAAAAATTCTCTGTGAGGACAAATGCAAAAGACACAAACAGCTAATCAACACTCAAGAGTCAGCCTGTCCAGATTGAGAATTCGTATCAATCTGTGAGATTAAGGTGTCTGTTGTCTATAATTTAGAGAAAAATGGAAACTGAACCAAGGATCAGAGTGAAGAAAACTAATAGTGTCTTTACAGAGTGGTATGAAGTGCTGTGACTTTCCTTCATAGCAAACATAGCCAGGATAGAACAGAAGCATACATGTTCTCTCTCATACACATTTCAAAAGATAAACCATGCGATTTGGTAACCACTCACATGTTCATGCTCAAATGAGTGACAAGCCAGTACATTCCTTGGAGAGTGTACAATGTCAACAGAACACTTTGCTACAAAAGTTTCTGTTATATACAAAGATGCCACTCTCTTTACAACTGTGCCTCTCCAGATATCGTTTTCCCAGAGGAAGATAAAGCCTAAGCAGCAAAGGTGGGAGGAAGGGACTGAACAGGAGACACATTAGAAGTGAGACCCAGAACAGATGACAGATACAAATGGCTTTGGGGAAAACACTTTCTTCATCTTTCCATTTCACACTTGGATGGCTTCAACAGCTTTATGGACCCTCCCAACCCCTACCCCACCTCCTGTAAATGTTTTATGTAATGTCGGCCTCTCATTGTGCTTGCACAATAAACATGACAAGCATGCTGCCAACATTCACCGCAAGGTGGGACTGGCAAGGCCACAGCCTGAGCAAATGGATGGGAATCATATTAACACACTCTCCTAAGGTAACTCAGAATAGAAACATCAGACAATAAGACACTGAATCTCAGACATTTTGTGCAGGGGCTGAATCTTCTATTGCTACTGAAAGGACTGTGGACAGAGGAATGCCTGTCACAGTTACAGATTTTCTGGTGGGTGGGATGGTGGTAGGAGTGACAGAGCCACCTATCAGCCACACCGGAGATGATTGATGAGCCACAAAAAACAGGCAGCGAAGCCCAGCCTCTCTCCAGAATCCATTTGTTTTTTCCGATCTCTCTCTGTCTCTGTCTCTGCCTCTCTCACACTGCAGCTAATCAGTGGTGATGGATGAGGGTAGATAGTCACTCCTTCCTTCAGGCACCCAATTGCATTTTCTCTTGCTTGTCACCAGGCCTATCATCCATTTCCCAATGAGTCCTTTATACAAATAAGAAAAGCGCCATTCTCTCCCTAGAACTGTTAATGCAAGAGTCCCAAAGTGTTGAGAAAAAGGCAGAAGAAAAAGAAAAGATCAAAGGATTTTATTGTTTTACTCATAAAGGGACAGAGAAAAAGCATTTCCAGGAGAAATGCACTGAGTAATCAGTGTTGAGTGTTGAAGAGGAAGTTCAAATAAAAATGCAACAAAATTGGAGAGCTGGGAGTAACATGATTTGGCAAGAGTCTAGCCCTCATCCCTGTGTCCCCATTTGAATTGGATGTAGTTTTTCCAATTGGCTCATTAAGGCAGCCCAGCCACCAGTGGGGCTGGTGTTTAAGGGACCTTGTCATTTGCACGGCTCTATCGATGACCCACTCAAATAAAAATGGACAAATTTTGGCCATATCTCACTTTTATATCTTCAAGAAGTATGAGCCAGTGAGTAAAGTTGTAAAATCAAGACTATAAGCTATGTGTGTGTTAATATGATGGAGCCAGAACATTCAGTACTTCACATTGGCTGAGATTCATCTTTAGAACCAAGCCACATGGTGGATGCTCAAAATATTGGAGCCAGCATCTGCATGTGAGGCCAAACAGCTTCACGAGGAACAGCCAAACTGAATATTTTGGTCCTAATAGATTTGGCTATGTACATGGGGAACATTTTTAATCAGGAGATCTAAGATCTGAAGATAGTGATGTTGCCGAACATGATAATGGTGATGACAACAAAAATAACCAGGATGACAATGATAGCCACAATGAATATAGACTTGGGAAATGTGATCCATAAGGGTAATCTCTTCCTCAGTGAACTCCTCTAAATTGATTTTAAAAATTTAGTGCCCACCTTTCTCAAAAAGAACTCTATTTTATACCTCAGAGCCTTATGAAAGGGAACTCCTATTAACTAAATTAAAATCTGTGTCACCTTTGCAAAACTATCTTGTCAATAGACACATCAGGACCAGGCACTGCTCTTTGAAGAAAGCTGTTATACATTAAAAGAAGGTATTCTTACATTCACATATAAGTTTCTTGGTCAGAAATGCATTGTTGAATTAAACAGGGAAAAAAGATTTGGCTATCCTAATTGGCACTACCTGATGAAGATAACCTCACAAAAGGAGGGGAATATATTGGTGTTACTTACACATATGGAGGAATTGATATTTTTATCAGATTATCAAAAACAAACTTCTAAATGTTTACATTTTAAAAATATGTAAATTTAAAAAGCTTCCTACATATGTTACTGCCTTAAACCAAAGTGTACATTTCCATTTTCTAGAATTTATATATATCGACATATATTTTATATTTCTGTAATCATAGTATATATCTATTATTATAAATACGAAACCTAAAGGGTAAATAGACAAGGATGCTAGGAATAGACGAGAAGTGTCCTCTCATGCCCAGCACTATTTTTAAACCATAGTTGTGTGACTATCTATCATGTATACAATGCTCAAACTATTTCACCTGACAGCTATACATCTATCAATTGTTAGCATTAATATTGCATTAAAAACAACACTTTAAAAATACACTTATTTTATTAGGACAATAATAGTGAAAAAAATCAGTTCCACACCATAAATTAGAAAAATTAATAAAGCCCTTTGGGGATTAAAAACACCAGCACCTGACTTTTTTTCGGCCTAAAGTCAACATCATCATTATCCCGTTACAAAATAGGTGCTTCAAATACTACCCCGACAATAGGTACCAACGTGCAGTTGAAGTAACTAGAAGATGTTCCCTTTGGTACAGTTATTTAAGTTGCCTCAGCAGCCACGTTTTCAGCCTAAATTATTTTGTGGCAATCAATCTTTATAAAAGAAAAAAAATGAACCAACTAGGGAGAAAACAATTTGATTACCACCTTATATTCTAATCATATTCATGAGTGACTTGGAAGTCTCATATGAATGGACTCTCTAGATTAAGAAGCCTATTTGGTATTATTCAAACTGTAAATATATAAACAAATAATTTAACATTCAGACCCTTGATTATCAAATGATTTTCCAATCCCTAATTCAATGTATTATTATTCAACCCTAAACTTGCTTTAATTATATAAAATACATTCTGAGAATTATTTATGTGAATGAGGGGTTAAGGATTTGCTGCCACCCAGTGATGTTCTTTCCTTGTTCTATCTGAGTGGCCCCCTTTTTTGAGAAGAGCATATAACCTACCCAAGGAGCATGAGTCTATGAAGGCATCATCCTTTAGTTGTTGCACCCTGAAGGCACAACTGTTTGGATAAATATCGACATTTCACCCTTCATCAATGCTAAAATTTAGCACTGAGTTCCTACAATAAAGGCTTATGTCTTCGGCCTTTTTCTTATTAATCCTATTACGTTTGTCTTTATGAGCTCTCCTAGTTCCTTTCACTCCCTCCGGGGCTTAGCTGCAAATGAGATTTCACATCTCAGTGTAAAATAACCCGAACATTTTTCTATAAAATTAAATAAAAGTCTTCCATCCTGGCACTGCTTGCCTAGAATCCAATTTCGGGAACCAATGTCTTTCCCAACGCCTCATTGTCTTCTTACCATCTCACTTTTCTTAGCACTGAGGAGCATTTTTTTTTTTTTTTTTTTTTTTTTGCTTTTGCATTCAAATGATTTATTGGTGTGGGAAGTAAGAGAGAACAGTATCTGTTGGTCAGAATGAATAGCGGACAGCATAATCCTACGCCCACTTTTCTGAAGACATTGTACGACTAGGATTGAAAACTCATCTCTCCTGTGGCTCAGGCTGTCTCTGTTTTTCTCTGCTAGTCTGTTCCCCGTGCTTCCAGTGTGAACTAGCCACAATCTCACACACACACACACACACACACACACACACACACACATTCCTTCAAAGCTTCCCCTTGAAAAGGAATTAGAATTTCTCAAAAATAAGGCAGCTCAGAGGAAAAACAACTCCTAGGCACACTCTAAAAGGCATAGTCCTTTTAAGGAGTTGCAAGTATCAGAAGCTTCCCGTTCTAATGGTCCTAGGTCCAAACACACAAGCCAAACAAACGCCAGGCATCTCAGGAATCCCTCAGAGCATTCCATCCAGTACCTCCAGGTGTGATGACAGGTGAGTAGAATTTTTCACTTAAAGAAACTCCAGGTAGTACTGAGGTTTTATACATAGTAACATATTTTTTAAAATAACAAAAAGAAATGATTCATTCAAACATTTTGCATCCTCCTCAAGATCTTTTTTAAATTTAGATCACAGGTGCAATGTTAATAAAATTCAACTTTCTGAAGTTTTCTCTTTATATAAATTGGCAATGGATGGCAATGAATTATGCACATAGAAAATACCAAGTAAATTATAGTTTAGTGAAAAGTATGTTAAATTGTCATCCTAGATATTTTCTGAGCCAAGAAGAGACTCCATATTTTTAGATTTCAGAAATTACTTTGGAGATCTTTCACCCACTCTTAGCCTAATATTTTTTTAATCACTTAAACAAAGAGGAGAATCTATACAGAGATACAGACACAAATGCCTTCAGAAGGTGACATCAAGGTGTGAAACAGCTAGGTAAATGTAGCAGGAAGTGTTCAGGACAGAGGTAAACTGGTCACATCATTATATCTATCCTAAAGACATTTGCATATGTCAACAGAATTAAATAAAATGCACATCAGACATTTTGTGGTGCTTCTCACCTGTCAGGGAACCCTGGAAAAAATGAAGCCTAACGCTGCTTCTAACTCTCTATGGTTCTACTATTAATTTAAGCAAATCTTTTAAAATTGAGCAATAACAGCAGAATAGCCACTAAATGATATAAATATTTTACATCACTAAAAAGTTTCCATGGGATTAAAATAACACTACTAACATTAGCTAGGCTTACTCAATTATTTTTCCTTGGGAATTTAATCCAAAATTATATAGGTTTCTGGCTGAATAAAAAATAATTCTTCCTGAAAGGAATTCTTCTATAGAAAACAAAATCTCATTGGGAAAGCTACTATCATATATGAGGTGGAGTATTCTAGCCATGAAAATATCACATGAAGAACACTGAATGTGAATTTATACAAGTCATAAAGAAGGAATGACTGACTGCATATATCAAAGGCTTAGAAATACTACTTGAAAATGTGAATATATATGCTGTGGATATTATTTTCTATATCATCATTACAAGCAAAGTGAAGTACATTGAGAATATATCATAAAGAAGATAATCCAGTTGCTTTCTGACATAAAATCTACCATATTAAATAGCAAATGTATTTTGCTGACATAACTTCCGGAGAGTCATTTCACTTTTGCTTATGGTAATTCACAAAGAATGTATCAGGTCTAAAACTGAGGCAAGCCCAATCAGTAGTGATCATGTACAAAACATTGTGGCCAAGGTATTTCTAGGCTTTATTGACAAGAGGGCATAATATATGACCTTTTCGAGTTTTAGAGATAAATTTTGAAAAGATTCAGGTAAAAAAAATATTGTTTTCCTATTTTTATATTTATCCTGAAATGAACAAGAAACCTCTAAGACTCCTGATAGATTTGCAAATACTCAGTAATTATTGCTTGTACTAACCTATCATGATTCAACATCTTTTTCACAGAATATAAGAAGTTCTTAACCATGTTAATGGCCCATATATATCAGAGAGGTACTTTAAAAAGGGACACCTCATGCTGTTAAGCCTAGAACCCATGTGTCAAGTGGGCACAAACATGAGTTTATGTCTCAAAATTGACTCCTTATATACTGCTGCTGGGTGAATACCTACTTGCAACATGCCGACTTTCTGGAGGCAAAGAGAATTTTCGGGAGTTCCTAATCAATTGGCACATAAAATCTAACTTTGTCTAAACTTTTCAAAAGTCTTCTGACATCTCACCTAATCCTATCCACCTGAGGCCACTTTCTTCTAAACAAATCAAGTTAATATTCTCATGTTCTGCAACATATATCATATTTATAGCCAAAAGCCTTTCATCACGTTCTTCTTACTTAGTATTCTCTTTCTTGACCCTTCATCCATCTAAATCCCAGTCATCTTCCTGTCCATGCTCAAATTCAAACTCTTTCATAAGGGCTTAGCTGACATTCTTAGCCCTTAGCCGACATTCTCAGCCTTCGCCCATCACCTCCAAATTTCTAAAGAACATAGTATGAACATGTCCCAAACTATAAGTTTATACTATCTGGATATTTTAACCTTTTCAAGTATATTGTGATTTCTCTACAGACTTGGCTCACACTTGATAATTCTTAATATCTCACTGTACCTAGTAGGACTCTAATTGTATAATGAGTTTTCAACACGAATCGAAGGGAAAAAATGGTCAGCGAACATATACTGAACTGTACCTAGCAGGACTCTAATTGTATAATGAGTTTTCAATACGAATCGAAGGGAAAAAAATGGTCAGCGAACATATACTGATGAATATCTTAGGAACTGATTTTGCAAGATAATTATATGGGAATACAACTGTTCATGATAATATATGTAATAATTCAGTTTTCAAGAGATATGAACAGTATAAAACTGGTCTGTTTAAAATGGGCTGGAGTTTGAAGTTAATATTCTAAGTGATTATTGGAACTACTGACCACTAGGACCCTTCCTAGCTAGAGATGGGCATCTCTTTAGAATGGACTGATGTAAGCAGTTGGAATAGAAGTCATATTTGACTTACAAATATGAGGCAGCAACGACTGCCCTAAATTAAGTTTGTATTATCTTGAGATAAGCTCCTCTCTCTTTTGTTAGAATAAACACCTGAGAAATCAACCAAGTAGGTGTTAATGATAAACATACAAGACTGAAGCCCTTTCTTGACTGAGTAGAAACAGAAAAGATCTGATCTCCACATACTCCTCAAAGTAAACTGTTGCTCTTTTGTAGACACTAACATGCAGACAATAACATGTAGAAATGAACATGACTCCTATTTGTTTTGTAATTATATCTAGTTCTGAAGCAGCTATCAAAGTTTGTTCTCTATGTTTAAAGATATAACTGTATGTTTACTGAATTTAGAAAAAGAGTGCAAGTGCCAAAATAAATACATTTTAGCATTTGCAAATAAAATACACTAAAAATAAATACATCTCGAACTTCCATCTTGCTTTAGGAAAAAAAGAACTGCACTTTTCTAGATTATATGACCTGTTAGGTCGCCATGTTAATGAAGTCTGAAACATTCGCCTCTCAATGGGATGGCTGTTTGCCCTCCTGCTGAATAAAGATTTCCTCAATTTAATTATCATATGAGGATATCCTGATACTGAAAAGGAAAGGATAAGGTAAGATTGGTTAAACCATCCCTTTGAGCGTTCTTTCAAACTTGCTACCTCTAACACACAACTATCTTGAACAGAAGCCAGACCCAGTTTAAATAATTTTATATTTAAGTATTAATAATGCATGATAAGCCATGTCTGATGTGACAAATTGCAATAACTATTAAACCATTTGCCCATTCAATATATCTGATTAATCATGACAGACATACCATGTGACAAAGATAAACCTTTTATTAAAAAAAAATAAGCTAAGTGAATTGAAAAATAGACTAAACCCAATATTTCTCATTGGTATTGATGAATCTGATTCTAGCTGCATGTACTGCCTTGGTAGGGAGAGCTGAGGAAAGCTCGTTACATCCTCCTTTTAACTTTCCCATGTGCCCAGCTAACTCCTGATTGAAAGGCAATGCTACTTACAATCAGATTTGTGTTGGAGACACATTCATCCACAAGTGCAGAGAGCCAGAAAGATTGAGCCTAAAAAATCCCAGAGGAAAGGCAAGTGTAGATTACCAATGGTTCCACACTTAATAACATCTCCTGTACCATGACACACTAGCAAAGTTCTGCAAGAGCAAATGGAGACCAAATCCTCAGGCAGGCAAAAGAGTTGTCTAACATGGTGCCCAGAGCTGTTAAAAGCAAATTGTCCAAATGTTCATGGTGCACCAGAGATAAATAGCTCCAACAGACAATATCATGAGTTTTCACCATCTCTCCCTACATTCTGTTGCAACTATACTAAAATTTGTCATAGAAACACTTACACAGAGCAGCACATGAGCTCTCAAGCCCCCTCCCACCTTCCCAATGAGAGCATGCCCCTCATATCTATATGTATAAATGATACTTTGATGATTTAAAAAGATGTATGCTACTTTCTCATCTATCTAATGTTTCTAGTAGAGCTTAGCTATTAAGACAATGAAAGGAAAGTCAAACTTGACTGCGTAAGTGTTGGCTTCCTTAACTGTATATGAAATGGCTAGGAGAATATATGCAATTTCCATGAAAGTTTTGAAAACTCAAACAGAAATATAAAAAAGAATTCTTATTCTGGGTTACTTTGGGAGAGTTACTGATCCTCTTTGAGACGATTTTTGCATAGATAAAGATATTAATAGTATCACATATATGTTTGTCAAGATTAAATTAGCAACGATTGTAAAGACTTAGTAATCGCTATAACAAAGTGAAGGTTCAGACATTGTACCTATTATTAATACTATTGTGGTGGATAGAAGCAAAGGTGACCCCAGTGATTTCTGCCCGTTGTTGTTCATACCTTTATGGAATTCTCTTCCCTTGAGTGTGGGCAGGAGTTTTGATTTGCTTCCTCCCAATATCATATAGCAAATGTGATGAGATGTCACTCCTCCAATTATGGTACATTATGTGGCAAAGGTCATGACAGATGTCACCGCCAATATTATGTTATGCTTTAGAAGATTTCCTTTTAGGAGACTGGCACTAGATACTCTCTTCGTGGGCTTGAAGTAAGTGGTTGTCTTGTTCCATTTTCTGTGCTTATAACAGAATACCTTAAACTGGGTAATTTATACAAAATAGGAATTTATTTTACAGCTATGAAGACTGAGAAGACCAAGATCAAGGGGATACACCTGGCGAGAGCCTTCTTGCTGGGTTGGACTCTCTGTAGAGTCCTGAAGCAGCACAGGACATTTCATGGCAAGGGGGCTGAGCATGCTAGCTCAGGTCTCTATCTTATTCTTATAAAGCCACCAGTTCAATTCCCATAATAACCAATTAATCCATTAATCCATTCATGAGGGTAAAGTCCTCAAGTCACAATCATCTCTTTAAAGACTCCACCTCTCAATACTGCCATGTTGAAGATTATTTCAACTTAAGTTTTAGAGGCGAAAAACATTCAAGCCATAGCAGTGGTCGTGTTGGAAAAGCCTACATGACAGAAACTGCAGTTCCTCTAAGACCTGAGGGCAGCCTCTAGCCAAGAGTCAGAAAAAAGCTGAGACCTTCAGTCACACTCTGTAATAAAATAAATTTTGCCAAAAACCTGAATAAACTTCAGTGTGGATTCTTTCCCAGTTGACCCTCCAGAGGAAAGCACAGCCCATATGGTACCACAATTGCAACCTTGTGAAACCCAGAACAAGAACCCAGCTAAGACAGGCCCAGGCTTCTGACCTACAGAAACTGTGAGATAATAAATATGTGTTGATGTGTTGTTTGAAGCTGCTACATCTGTGATGATTTATTACACAAAAATAGACAACTATTGTAATTATGTATAGTAATATGGTAGGCAACATGATGAACATGCTTCTTCTATGAAGGAAGTACTTTTGAATTTTGGACTTTGTGATTGATAAAGAGAGCTAAGAAATGTTGAATTCTCATGGAACTTCAAGGTAGGAGAGATGGTAGAAGCCGTCTGGTCCAACTCTTCCTGTCCATCGTTTTTCAGATGAAACAACCAAGTTTTCAAAAAAAAAAAAAAATTACCTGGATAAAGGGCATGTGACCAGCTCATTGTAAAGCTACAACTTAAACCCATTTTGACTTCGGGCCTAATGTTTCGTATCACTACACTGAACGCAAAGCTGTTATTCTGAGTTAATAGCATTTAAATCAAACATAGAGTAAAGACCAATGATGACTAGATCTTAAATGATCACCTAGCTTAATTATTATTAACCAAATTCATCAGAAAGCCACTTAGTGACATTCTGATATGATTTATTTTCAAGGTAACACTGAGTTGATGTGTTATTTGTCAACACCCAATTGTATAAGTACAAAATAAAAACCTAGTAAATACAGAGCAACCAAGGCTGTGTCTGAGAGTATAAAAGCATTGAGATAAAGGGTAAAAGGTTCAGTTAATCCATGAAAATGTCACCATCCACTAGGGATCTCTATCTGAAGGTTAAGTGTCACAGACTAAGTGTCAGATGGTGCGAGCAGCCAGAATGGCTAAATCAACTCGGGTGATGAATGTGGTAACAGATGCTACAATCACATTGCTTGCATAGCCAAGACAGAAGATGGGACCACATTAAAATCAAAATGTACTTCCAAATCTATGTATCTATCCATATCTATTAGTCGTCCCCACTTCTCTTAAAAACAACATATTTTCCTTCAATTTGTACAGTGGTTGATTAACCAGCTTTTCCCTATTACAACTAAAAAGGATCAAGAGATGTGATTGCCAGGCTACAAATGCAATTCTCACATAGAAGATATTTTTAAAATGCTTGAATATATATTCTCACAATGGGACAGAATTTTTGAAACCAGAATTATACTGGCCAACAGTGCTATGTCTCTGCTTTTCATTTTCTCCTATCTATTCCTTCCACTATCTTGAATCCAGCTCTGATACTATATGGGTAATTTTGAAGAGTTATTTAAACGCCACAACTTTAAGTCTCTTAGTGTATATCTTGCTTGATAGAAGATTGTCTTGAAATATAAATGGGATCGGCCGGGTGCAGTGGCTCACGCCTGTAATCACAGCACTTTGGGAGGCTGAGGCGGGCAGATTACGAGGTCAAGAGATTGAGACCAACCTGGCTAACATGGTGAAACTCCATCTCTATTAAAAATACAAAAAATTAGCTGGGCGTGGTGGCGGGCGCCTGTAGTCCCAGCTGCTTGGGAGGCTGAGGCAGGAGAATGGTGTGAACCCGGGAGGCGGAGCTTGCAGTGAGCCGAGATTGCGCCACAGCACTCCAGCCTGGGCAACAGCACGAGACTCCGTCTCAAAAAAAAAAAAAAAAAAAAAAAAAAGGAAATATAAATGGGATCATATGTAGATAAAATATTTAGCACAAATACTTACTGCATAAAATCGTTACTTTTGCCTTTTCTTCTCATTTTCCTCATGGGAAGCAACTATTTCCCAAAGGTCTTTGGGACCTTTGATTGAGAAGACAGTGATTCCAAACTTATCAGACATCTTCCCATCTTTTAGATTGCCAGAACATAGAGAAGCATTTGTTACTGGTGTGAAGTTTTAAGTGCAGTCCAGCCATGTCTTAAGGTTTACACAGTGTCTGTATGGAGAGTCCTGAGTCAAGTCCGTTCTGTCCAAGAATGGCAAAGGGCAAAGATCCATTCCATGCTTTAAGACAGCAAACCTTTCAGCAAATGAAGGGGAAAATTGAACTTAAATCAGAAAGGGAAAACAAATCCTCTTGTCCAGTAAATTTCTTTAATCAACAGAGTAGTTTTCCAAGACTTTCATTCAATGTCAAAAAGCTTACTAGGATTTTTGCCCAAGTACACAAGGTCAGAGCAAGTTGTTATTTCAGAAAAATCCAGAACAGAATCTCTTAGAAAAAAAACATAGAAAATTACACTGGCAAAAGAAATTGCTGAGCTGGCACAAAAGGTGTTTGGAAATATTTAATGTACTCTCATTTATCTTTAGATCAGGTGTAGAATGGAAACAGAACCAATAGGAAAAAATGTTGTTAGTAGACCTGTCAACTATTAAGAACTGCATATGCTGTAATTCTCTAGCTTTTTCCCATAGTCCAAATATATGAATGTATGAAAAAAAATAGGGTAAAAGCACATGTAATTTTCCCAGTGATGTATCACAGCTTGCTCTGCCAGGAAAGGTAAGTAAATGAGCAATCTGTCAGTAAGCCCAGCATGAAATGAGGGTGGAGCTGGGATCACAAAGTAGATATGTCACATTTCAAATTCTTTAGGGAAAATGCTGGTGATATCCAAATTTAAATCTAAAAAATAAAAAAGCTCCTATTCACACATATTTTTTCTTGTACTTTCCTTTATACTTTATACCTTTCCTAGTATTCTTCTTAGGTTTTCTACTGCACTTTGTGCAGAACCCAGACATTTAAATGAACATTAAACAAAATGTGAATATCTGAATATATTACCTATACATTCTAATTCTTAGAATTCTAAGCATGTAGGTATTCTGAATTATTTTTTCAGTTTGAATTTCTGATTCACTTCTATTTTTTAATGTTTATTTTAAGTTCAGGGGTACATGTGCAGGTTTGTTATATAGGTAAACTTGGGTCATGGGGGTTTGGTGTACAGACCATTCTGACATCCAGGTATTAAGTATTAAGCCTAGTACCCATTAGTTATATTACCTGATCCTCTCCCTCTTCCCACCCTCCACCCTCCAAAAAGCCCCAGTGTCTGTTGTTCCCTTCTATATGTCCATGTGTTCTCATCATTTATCTCTCACTTATAAGTGAGAATATATGGTATTTAGTTTTCTGTTTTTATGTTAGTTTGCTAAGGATAATGACCTTTGGATCCATCCATGTTACTGCAAAGTACATGACACACTCTTTTTAATGGCTGCATAGTATTCCACGGTGTATATGTATGACATTTTCTTTATCCAGACTATCATTGATGGGCATTGAGGTTGATTCCATGTCTTTGCTATTGTGAATAGTGCTGCAATGAACATACTGGTGCAAGTGTCTTTATGATATAATGATTTGTATTCTTTTGGATACATACCCAGTAATGGGATTGCTGGGTTGAAGGGTAGTTCTGATTTTAGGTGTTTGAGGAATCACCACACTGTTTTCCACAATGGTTGAACTAATTTACAGTCCCAGCAACAGTATACAAGCATTCCTTTTTTTAAACCTTGCCAGCACCTGTTATTTTTTGACTTTTTACTAACAACAATTCTGACTGATGTGAGATATTTCTTTGTGGTTTTGATTTGCATTTGAAATATTCTAATATCTGAAGAGCAGATATTTCATGTTATTTGGAAAGAATGGTCATATACTGAACTAAATTTTTACACATCAGTATCATAACCTTCAATAAATGTTTCTACTTACACATTTATTTTTGAGTTTTTCTTTTATCATTGAGCTACTGGTTGATTTCCTACTTAGAATTTAGTTTTTTTAACATAATTTTTCTGGATTAAAAACTGTCTTCTCTACCATTATATTTATCATCTTTATAACTACTTTGACACATTTTCTTTCTCTTCTTTCCCTATCTCCTTTTATATTCCATTTCTAGATCTTATTTTCTATGTTTGTCCACTGAATGTATTATTTAGTCTCTTTCTCTTCTGGAAAAATTCCCAGAAAGCATGTTTTTTCTTTCTATAACTGCTATTGTGAGACTGAGAAGGAGAAAGTGGCAAGAGGGCACACCTTGCTGCTCTCAGAATCGCTGAGATAGTTGCGGGACTTACTCCCATTACTTTAGATGAAAGTGAGGGTGGGGTGAGTGTGGCCAATGGAGCCAACGTTTTTGTTCATCCATAGAACTCTACATTTGTTGTTTTGTTTAAGCGTGGGTGTAAGGATTGCTA
The DNA here is from genome assembly GCF_000001405.40 of Homo sapiens. Lineage (NCBI taxonomy): Eukaryota > Metazoa > Chordata > Mammalia > Primates > Hominidae > Homo > Homo sapiens. The sequence continues at coordinate 117,811,631 of NC_000003.12, forward strand.
TAGATGGCAGAGGAAATTACCTAGTCCATATAGGGGAGTAATGAGATTGCATAACCTATGTGGCATTTAAATAAATTGGAATTTGTTGATAGACTATATAAACAGACATAAATCTATATTTTCTAATCTATTAAGTAATTAAACACAATCCATGTGTAAATGACTATTTCATATGCAGTGTGACTTCTGCAAACTTAATTTTTCAGAGTGTATGACTTTCTCACATTAAACTCTCTCAAATAGATTTTCACGATCTCCAGACTCTGAAGCATAAATCAGAAATCTGTTCTTCTAGCCCAGTGCTTCACGAACACTCTGTGACTGTCAGATTTCTCTGCTAGCAGCTTTAGTTACCATAGCTTCTCAAGCCATTCATTTTTTTCATGTTCCTCTGCAGAGCAATGCACAATAGGCCTTCTGTTCTCCTTTCTGTTCTATCACTTATTTAAGGTTGACCTACAAAATGTTAAAAGTTTAATTCTGAGTCAGGTGCTCAGTGAATGTCTAAGGACACCATAAATACATGTTGGTTGAGTCTACACATGCAAAATGAAATGGAAGAATAAGACTACATCTAGACATATTGAGGCAAAACATATGTCTGAAATATCTTGAGAAATGAGGCCAGGCTTTTTGAAATGTTACTTTTTGGTAGTACTAAAATGCAACCATAGAAATTAAGCAGAGGAAACCTGTAATAATGATTTGGTGTTCATCTAGCACTTTCTTTATTCACAGATCCCAAAGGATTTAACATACTGTTTAATCTTCTCAGGTCTGCTCTTTTTCTTTTCAGTTTTACTTTTCTCTCTCCAGTCATGAAAACTTTAAAAAAATGAATTTTTCATTAAATTGATTGTGACACTAGAATTAAGTAGTAAAATTCCATAATAGTAACAAAATAGAAGTCATTAGTAGAAGTTCTTTGCTATAATCAAGGCCAGTCCTATGGGTACACTGGTGACCTAAATGTAAGAAGGCCTATGTCTCCTTTTTGACTTTTTACTTGATGACTTCTCTTAATCCCCAACTCCTAACACACACACTTACATACACCTCTTTCTGGTGCCTATGATTTAGGATCTCTGAATTTATGAATCTCAATCAAAATAAAGTTAAGAAAATGCTTAGATAAATCTAATTACATTAAAGCTGAATGGCTGATAAAGCTTAACTCGCTTTACTAGGGGAGACTCCCAGGCATAGCTACATTTTATTTTGAAGATGTTATTTTAGGGTGTGGAGTAGGTAAAGCATTTTCTCAGGTCCTTAAATAATACCATTTATCTTTTCCATCATAGATCCACCATAGTTGGTCAGGGTTTAATTTGTTTTAAACAAGGTAAATGTCCTTATGTGGTACCTATATAAAAGACATTAAGATGATATATGAGGCCCTTGCTCAAAAAAAAAAAGACAGTAAGATGATATAATCTCTCAGTAAGTAATCACACATGCTGGTTTAAATCTGTCATTTTAAATTCTTAATTATTAATAACACCTTGTTTCACTCTAAAAAGTATCCTATATTGGACAATAAATTAAATGTCAACCTATGAACAAACTAAAAGTTTGATTGCTGTGTGCGTGGCCATCAGTTGCCTACCCTTTAACCCTCTTGCTCTCCCCTGCATAAAAATGGAAGTTTCTTAAAGGAAGTGTCTCACAGCTCTCATACCACTGCTTATAAGCATAGAATCCCCTTCCCATTTTTTTCCCTAGTTACTACATTTTCTCATCTCACCCTAGACATCCATACCTCTCAGTTCCTCTTCAATTCTCAAGAAACCAAGGGAAATAAAAGACAAAGAAAGAGGTTCACAGAGAAGACTTGGTATTAGATGAAATTAAAGTAACTGAAAATTTAACACCCATTTTATTCCTCTGTTACCCTGTTTGGTACCTAATTCTCTATCCCCCAACAAATCTGCTTTCAAAAACTATCCATAAGTTGATCAATATCTCAATTGCCCTGATTTGATTATATGAATGTATCAAATTATCATATGCACCCCAATCATGTACACATCTAATTAATATGTATCAATAAAAAGTTTAAAAGATCTATTAAGAATAGTACCTAATACAATTTTTCATATTGCTATTCAGTTCTCTCTATATATATGTATATATACATGTATATAAATATATAACACATATAAAATTTATATGTAAAATTTAAAAATGCTGGTTGGTGATAAGATAAAAAAAAAATGCCAGGTGGTGATAAGTTACCTGAAAATAACAAATCAGGATAGGAAGATAAAATATGCCAATATCCTTCTGATTTGTTGGTTAGAAATGGCCTCTGTGGAAAAGTGGTATTGAGTTGCACCCAAATGATGAGAAAGCATCCGTCATGAAAAGATCCAAGTAGAGATTTAGGGCAGAAAAAAATTACAGAAAAGAAAGAGAATACAGAGAACATAGAGAGCCAAGTACAGGACTCCTTTGTAGAATTGACCATCCTTGGCATCTAGATGCAACCAGCTAGGCCAAGGACCCTCCATAGGTTCTGTAGACTAAGATGGACAAAACTCAGTTCCATGAACTCTGCATTATCACAACTCTGTATCATCAATTTCAGGAGAATCAATACCAAAAACAAGCAAAAAGGTATTTTGGTGGGGAAGAGTTCTGATTTACCTTGAAAAGACTGATTTGAAGACAATTCATTCAAAGAGACCTGGACAAGAGAAGCACGTGGACCAGCTCTGATGTCACAGCTAACATGAACAAACATCAAATCCTTGAGTACAGCAGGAGGCAGTCTTTAGAGTGTTTTGCAGAGAGGACTCATCCTCCGGATGACCCTTGGGGTTGCCACCTGTGTCCTAACTGAACACATCTCCTCTGGCACTTTTATGCTCCAGCGCTTCTCTTCTCTCCGGTAGTTCTCCTGCCCCTCCCAAACTTGTTTCTTATAAAGATTTGGTATTTCCATGTTGATGAACTTTTGAAGACATTTGTTTTATAGTATTGTTTTCTTTTCAAAAGATTGTTTTTATCCATATCAGCAAACTAGAATATTTAAGAGTTGTCAGGATTTGGAAAAAGTCTTGTCATACAGAACCAGATGTTAAAATGACATTTGTGAAAACTGAATTCTACCTGTGTAGAATTTATTATGCTTTTTCTATTCATGTAATATTATTTCATTTTCTCATTTTTTGTGTGTTCTCTTACTGTCTGGATACATTCAAATGCAGCTAAATCCAGGCTACCAAAATATTTGTTAAATCTATCTGTTCCTTTAAAGTTATATTGCTCCATAAGAAGCAATGCACTTCTAATTGTGTGACACTTATACACCGTCATTTACTAGCCAAAACAGATTTTTATAACCCACTTTTTGGTCTTGACCTATGTGACTACTTATATTTGGAGATAGCCTTCTTAACTCATTTGAAGAGCCAGGGATGAAATAAATACTCTAGCTTTTCATGATTGCCCAAGATGTATTACTTCTAAATGACATAAATATCAATACTTCCTGTAAATGAAATAGCCAAGTAGAGAACGAAAGTGGTCTGACTCATTAAATGGAAAACAGACTCTCTTAAAGGCATATGGAAAGTAACAGGTCATTTGTACTCTAGGAGCTCCTCAACCTAGCAAGTTCGTCAGAGATATAATCTTATGTCTGGTGGTTAATTAGAGTCAAAAAGTTGAAATAGGAAGATATTATTGTTGATACTATGCTGCAGATTCATATTTGTATAAGAATCATTTTGTGAACAGGCCTGGGAACTTAATGTGAAATATTATTCCTATGGGAAAATGTATTCCAAGTTCTAAACTGCCTTCCAAGTTAATTTGTGCTGTGAACGAGATTTGCAAATTAGAGGCTTATAAGGACAGAATGTGTCTTAGCTCTTCCTCCTCTCATTGCAAATGACTAGTTTTCTTATCCTCTGTTTGTGAAATAACCATTCACTTACTGCAATTAGTTCATAATTTCTTCCGTGTACATTTGGATGAGTGCTTTTGTATAGTCTACTTTTTCTATATCTAGTCATTTTACTGTGATATGTTCCTCAATGTCTACGGTTTTGAAAGGTCTTCTGATGAATGACATATGCTCCAGTGTTTTATTTACACATTTTACATAATAGTGGAGCTACATGATTATATAATTGAACTTTACTTTGGCATTCTCTCTCATTCACTCTCTTCCCACGTCCCCTCTCATCTTGCTCTCTCTCCTATGTAGCACCACCTATAAATATGAAATAATAAGATCATGTTTTTGTGGGTGTACTTATCTTTCCTTAATGATCACATATGGACTTTTGGACTTATTTTGAGGACTTCTGCTTTTCATGCCCTAGAACAGTAGCGAGAAATTCAAGTGTTTTCCTCTGCCTTCTTCTTTTCTGCCTGGCATTCTTTTTTGGTTTATTTCCTTGTCCAATAAATACCCTCACTTTCCTAATATCCCATCATTTGTGTTCCTTCTCTCTTTACCATCATTAATGTTCAATGAACTGTTCACTTATATGTGGAGGAAAATATGTCTACCTGGCTACAAACTTTCCTTTAGAAGACACAATTTATTTTACCGAATACAATACGAGATGTGTGTGTGTGTGTGTGTGTGTGTGTGTATATATATATAATACTAGGTGTATATATATATATATATATATAAAATACTAGGTGTATATATATATATATAATACTAGGTGTATATATATATATAATACTAGGTGTATATATATATATATATAATACTAGGTGTATATATATATATATAATACTAGGTGTATATATATATATAATACTAGGTGTATATATATATATAAAATACTAGGTATATATATATATATATATATTTTGTAGGTGTACTTACCTTTCCTTAATGATCACATATGGACTTTTGGACTTACTTTGAGTACTTCTGCTCATATATATGTGTGTGTGTGTGTGTGTGTGTGTGTGTGTGTATATATATATATATACACACACACCTAGTATTATATATATATATATGTACATACCTAGTATTTTATATATATATATATATCTCCAAAATACTAGGTAATATATCTTTCCACAATACTATATATATATATCCAAATATATATATATATCCAAAATATATTTTTTATATATATCCAAAAATACATTTTTCCCACAGTTTAGTCTATGAAAACGAACTTTGTTACTACTTTTCCCCAGATCACTTTGCTATAACCAGATATTCGATAGCCTAATGTTCTTGGATTTTTCTGTTTCTCGGGTTACCATACAGGGGCATGACTGATCCTTCACATCTCTGATACTGTTACACTCTCTCTATTAACTTCTCTAGCTGAAATTTTCTCTAGTTGAATCTCTCCTTCTCCCTAGAAACTGCAGTCTTTAAATGTCTTATTACTTTTCCCTCTACTCATTACATATCACAAACTCTTTTTCTATGTTTGAAATACCTACAAATATCATGTTAATACTTTGCTTTTCCAACATATTCAGTTAACCATTCTAACCTTTTTCTCTTCCTGCCATTCTGTCAAATTGAGAAACAGTAGAACCAAATTTTACTCACACCCACCTACACACACCCCTCAAGAGTTCTGTGTGTGCTTACTCTGTGCTCTGTTCTGAACAAGATTCTATGGGGGTAAATAACAAAAGCTACCATAGCCCCTGTCCTTAAAAAAATGCCAATTCGGGAAAACAGTGCATACAGATTTAAAACAATTGAAGGACAATGAAATGCTGTACGTAATTAAATGCTAAGAAAATTATTCTCCATTCTTAATAGAACTACTTAAAAATCTGCCTTTATCTGATGTTACCAAGTGGGTAAACATGCCAGTCTCAAACTATCATTCACAGTCAACTCATGTGATTACAAGTTTGGCCAATTTCAGTTTGTCTGATTCTCTATAGTTGCCCATATAGTTACACTGCAGAGATTTGAAAATGCCTCAAGTGGCTGAAGGTAACATTTTGTGCATTCTTGGGTATGATTCCTCCACATTGCTAGATAGATCCACCTAAATTTAACCAGTTAGGGTGGGATGCCTTGAGAATTATTTAAAGCAAAGCTGAGGAACCTAAAAAAAAGAAGCCTCAAGGCATCAAAGAGACAGAAAAGCAAAGTTGGTCACTAGCACTGCTTAGGGAGTAGGTGCAAACCTATTAGGTCCAATTGTCACATCTTCTCTTCTACCCTTCTTGGCAGAGCATGAAGAAAGTTCTATGCTGTCTTCCTTTCTATAGCCTGGGCGGTTCCTGCTGAATGGTGCTCCCCCTGGAGCCGTGCAATAGGGCAGCCTAGCTAGCAGGTGCTCTTCACTCGAGAAGGAGAAGCAGATCAAGATCAGGCTCTGTATTAAATTCTGAGGATTGTTTTTCTCTTTGCACCAAACACTGACCTGCTTTCAGTGACATGTGCCCTGTGGATCATTTTGGCATCAGTGATAAGGTGTGATAGTGAGTCTATGGCACCACTGCAAGGACACCAGAACTTTGTTGTTATGCACATTAAGAAGCATTTGGTGGGAATTCAAGATGCAATCTGGACCTGTAGAAGAGAGTCTCTTTGTTAGATAACTAAATCTTATTTTCAAGAATAACCTCTGTCTTCTTGGACAATACTCGGAACAACTAAGACACTCAGAATAGTACCTAAGGAAAACAAATCAATGGCACAGAGAAAAGCAACCTCAGCTATTAATACTATCTTTACTCATAACTCAGTAATGGGTCAGTCTTTTCATATACATATTTAGGGGCATGGCTTTCTCTGTAAGTTTATCAAGTGCAACATTAACTCACCATACATTCTTTTCAAGTCTATCTTACTCTTTAAAATTTCTAAGTTTACTAAAGCAAAACAGATAAGTGAAACTTTGATAGGATCCATATCTCTTTCTCAGAGATCCACTTCTACCTCTCAGACATCCATGTCTGTTTCTCTGGTATGTCAGGATTTCCAAACTGCATACAGGCTTTCTAATCTTCAGAGCAACTTAAATATTTAAAAACTACATCCAACTCCCTCTGCTACTCACCCCTCTCCAAGTTTGACCAACTTCCACAAAACTACAATTACAAACTACAGGCCTAATATGCTTCACTAGGAACCCAGAGTTGAAGTGCAACCAGTCATCTTAGCTGGAGTCCGTCAAACTAGGACTTGCCAACTAGGTTGGCAAACAGGTTTGATTTAGCATGCTGTTAGGTGATGACTGCCTAAACAGCTGAGTTGAGAAAAAGTCAGAGACCAAGTCCAAGTACAGAGGAAATAAGTGCCAGTGTTAGTTCCCAGGAATAAGTTTTAAGGTTTTTCTTTTTAGGAAGAACTGGAGTTCATACCCATATGTTGAGGGAAAAACAATATTACAGATGAATGTGAAGGAAATGAAATTGTTAATGATTGTTATTAAAGACACTAAAAACTCAGGGAGACACATTGCCTCAGCCTCTATTTGCCTAATGGCAGGAATTAAATTCTTTCCTTTTGGTGACAGCACTTGCTTATCTGCTGAGAAAAGGCACCATCAGCAACCAGAGAAATCTGGGAAGAGATTTTATTAGCTTTCCACATATTCCCACCTTTTAAAAGACTGGAGCTTTTCTCTTCTTTATCTTGTAGTTACAGGATTTATTGCTTTTTGTTAAAATACTATTTAAGCAAGGACCCTAAACCCCTGCCTTGAGAAAGGGATAGTTTGGAGCTGAGTTTTTCCCTGCGTGATGGATACAATGCACCTCAGTAAACTGCTAGTTGTTCTCTTGTTAATCTAAGTTTTATTTTCAGGAGAGCGTATCAACTAAGAATTTATGAGGGTTAAAAAATAATTTATAATTTTTTCCCTTCAAATGTGAAAAAAATAAATGTAGAAAGATTGAGAACAACGGGAAAATCTCCATTCAGTAACCATGAATAAACAAGTGATTCAGAAAGTCAGGATCATCAATGGGTATTTAAACCACTAGATCAAAGTTTGTTGGGGATCAGCACATGGAAACAGTGATAAAATATCACCCTAAAGTTTGCTTTACCAATATTGATGGTGGAAGATATTTGTATAATGAAGAGATCTAGAAGTCATGACTTTAACCAAATGAGCAAATTAAGCATCACAAAGAATGGGATAACCTGCAGTAATGTACCTCTTACTTGGATTTAATATAAAGGATTCAGCACCATCCTGGAAGTATTATAGCCAAAAAAAGTTTAACATGATTTAATTAAGCTTTGAGACAAGACATTCCATTTACAGGAAATACCAGAAGATAGAGGAACAAGGTAAAAGACACCACCAGAAAACAGATCAATGAAGAAAGTGATATGTCACAAGATAATTCATCTAGTCTCTTAAAATAAAAGCCAATAATTTTTTTAAAAAATAAGGATTGAGGACTTGCCTAGATTAAAAAAGAAAAAAACAAATAGAAAAGTTACCAGTTGGAGAAAAATAGTTATAAAGATATTAATGAGACAATTGCAGGAGTCGAATACACAGTATAGATGCTTTAAGGAATTATTATTTTTTTTAGACTTGATAATAGTGAATTTGAGATTATTTAGAGATGCTTGGTAAGCATGTAGTGCTATCTATCAGAAAAGCAAAATTGGTGGTAATTATGTCAAAATATTAATTACTGAATTTTGGTGGTGAGTATAGAGGTGATCATGATTTGATTCTTTCAACTTTATGTGTTTTTGCAAAAATTTAAAATAAAAAGTAAAAAATGAAACAAAGTAATGTAACATTCACTTCTTAAGCTGAATACAAAAGCCTTGAGCAAAAAGAAAAATGTTTAGATTCATGGAGGCCTGTTATCTTCTCAGGAGAACACATTGCTCCATATATGGCGCTAGACTTCTTTGGCCATTCTCTGTCCCTGATGACTGCTTCCATCTTCCTGCCAGTGATAAAATACTAGGGGCTATGATCCTTGCCTCATTAAATAGACAATATTCTCACTCCACTCTGACCTGTGCTGGGGCCAGTTTAAGGAGTAATCTGTCATAAGATCATTAATACAGCAACTGGCTAAGAAGGTGAAGATACTCATCCAAAATTAATTTCTTGACCTTTTCCACAAGGACCTAGGAAGACATATTTTAGCGTTCATAACTGGGGAAACAGCTCCTCTTATACACTGTGTTTCCCAAATGTGGTAATTACAGAAACAGAGCCAAGAAGAAGGGATACAAGGGGCAATCAATGTTTCAGGACTCCTCTCACTAAGGGAATGCCTCAGGTTACATGTGAAGGATAGGTTTGGAGAGCAGCAAAGGAGTCTACTCCTCAACAGCTCATGTATGGCCTCAGACAACTTAAAGCCTCAAAAATCTTGTAGAAACAGGTTCTGGCTGCAAAGCATTTCAGACGAATTACTGGGTAATTAAAGCCACTGTGGGGGACAATGTCAAAAGATTCAACCTTAATTAGCACAGCAAGTGCTATGTAATAAATGAGACAATGCGTTACTTTAATCATGGTCAAAGGCAAAGATGAATACAAAGCCAAACATTTAGCAAATGCCAGTAAACTCTGAGTCAGAAAGGCAAATCCTCTGATTCATGAGTAACCTTTACTGGGAACTCAGTGATGCCATTTTGAAGGTGAAATAGATATAATAAGAAATCCTCTGATCCTCAGAAAAATGCATTTAAAAAAGAAAACCAATACTTTCCTGCCCTCCCCTCTCATCTCTTTGCAATATCCAAGGTGTAGAAAGCTCTGGGACCACATTTAGGGGCCAGTAAAGGTTCACATTAATTTCTTTTTTAATTTATCTCATTGTTTTTAAACCCTAACCTTTCCAATGATTGCTAATATGGAATGAAATTATGACTTCACAACATCTTTGCCACATAGCCAGTGCGGCACATTTTGAGAGGGGAAAAGAAGTCACAAAAATAATTGTTTGAATTATCTAAAATGTTTTTTGAATGATGCCATGGCCTCATCATCACTCTTTTTGTAGATCAAATTTAATACATTTATTTCCAGGTACTGATTAATCACTAGGCAAAATATAATCTATAAAAAGTGAACATATGTGAATATAACCTAGTATATAAGAAATGTTCTGTAAATGTTAAAGTTCATTTAAATTAAACTTGAATTGGATAAGAGAGTGGGTAAATAGTTCTTTGCTAATTCACGTGCTAGGGCTGGGTTGCAATGATGCAATGTTCTCTACCTTATCAATTTGTTTTGAGGAATAAGAGATACTGTCCAAATAGTTCATTTCATTCATATGAACTGTACCTACTAATCCTTCACAGTAAACTGATGAAATATGTATTAAATTTCCCGTTGCAATTATGAGAAAATTGAGGCTTAGAAAAAAAAAAGGTTAAGCAACTTCCCCAGTGTTATACAGGTATGAATCGACAGAAGTAGAAATCAGATCCCAATCTTTGTGAATTCACATTAAGGTTAAAATTCTCCATTTATCAAAAAGTATTTCCCCAGAGATCTTTTATAGTGTCTTAATCTCACCATGATAAAAGGGCACTACAATATCATCCAGTAATATTAGCTTATCACACAAGCTGCAAATGCCCTAGTGAAAGCAGCTGTCGGAAAGCTAAGTGTTGCTCCTGAGTAGAGATTTCAGAAGAATCTAGATATACATAGGGTGGAAAGATTAGGAAGGTTTTTTTCAGAAGAAGGTCTTGGAGGTTTTCAAGTTGATGACTGGGGGAAAGGGAGGGAGGAAGGTGGTGGTAATGAGGATGAAAAGGCAGGAATTCATGGGAAGAATACAATGCATCCTAAAGACAGAGCTGAAATTTGTGTTCGTTTTCATATTTTTTAGCCTGAACTCTGATTAGACTCATGGATCGCCAACCATATAATTGCTACTGTCACCAAATTGTGTCTTTTTATATTATAAAAGTTGGCCAAACTCATTTAAAATTTTAGAAAATGCAGCATTTAGAAAAATATGAAGAAAAAATATATATTCTCTGCCAAAATATGACAACTGTTAACATTTTGGTTTATTTCCTTCCAGCTTTCTTCCCCCTATGCTTATAATTTGGAAATTTTGAAAAACAGTTGAAATGATAAAACATGCACACATTTGAATCTTGTTTTATGTTACATTATAAGCATTCCCCATGTTATTTCTCTATAGGATTTAACAGTGTAAGATCACTGCCAAGTTATATATATATACATATACATATACATATACATATACATATACATATACATATACATATACATATACATATAACTTGCTTCTTTCTTTTTTACTCATTCTCTTTTGGTTTTAGTTTTGGTTTTGTTTCCTCCAAAACCAGCAGTTGGGACATTATAAAGTACTGAGAAAACAGTCTATATCACAAGGGCCCTGGGAACGGGGTCACAATCTCACAACCCATGATTCTTTTGTGAAAGAGATCAATTTCATGACCACCCAGTTTTCTTTACCTTACTCTTCTAAAGGCTAACAAAAAAAAAAAAAAAAAAAAGGAAAAATAACATAAAATTAAAATGTCTGAGACCATACCTCTGGCATATTGCATTTACCTTCCTCTAGGGGAAGAATACATTATCCATTCTACTAAAACCACCTGGGATGTCTGAGCCATAATCCTCTGGAATATGAACAGCAGGTCAAAATATTATAACTCAATCATTATTCAGTCTTTGAAGTAAGAGAGGATTATAAATCGATGCTGATATTAGTACTGTATTGCAAAAGTCACCTTCAATGATCTATTTACCAATTCAATTGTGTTTCTCATTATAGGTGAATACTGAATAAACAAATAGGCATAATACAACAGTAAGACTTGTGTTGCTTCAGACACAGTGGAAAAGGTGATTTCAATATTGAGAAAGAGCTAACATACATTGATTGAAATAAAACATTTATCTGAAATGTAGCCTAGGTCTTGCAACAGAAATCAACATTATTGACATGTTTTATTTCCATTATTGTTTACTTTTAGTTTATTTTTGTTTTTGCTTTTTGGTAATGACACAAAGTTAATATAAAATAATCAGATTTTACTCTTGCCTCTTTAGAATATATGAGAGACATCTTTAAATCTTTGAATTACACAACAAAACTGACAGATGAAAAATTATTAGGGTTTTCTACAAATTAATATTGGAAGGTTCATCTCCATAAACATAAATGTGGAAAAAGAGACTATCATTACATGTATCCAAATGCATTATATGAACATATAGATTTACAAAATAGATAGTTTAGAAATGCTCGCTCGTTTTATGAAGGTCTATATTTTTTAAAAAGAGAATATTTCTTTAGATATTCATTTCCATTATAAAATGTAAAATACAATACAATACAAAAAACAGTTCAGTATGAATTTCAAAAATACGCCTATGGAAAACAAGCAGGCTACATATGCAGTGTATGTAACATGTTGCAGCCTAAATAAACTTCTAGAACTCTGTTCATATAACCCCGTGACTACACTAAAAATGCTAATTTTACCTGTTAATTATGCCCATAAATTCCAATGTATGATATTAATGGCCAAAATATAGTCCATATAATGCAGCCCTATGCAAGAAATGCCAGGTGCCCACTCAGAATATACTAAGGGCATGCTCTAGTCCAGAAAGGTTTTTTGTTCACACCTACTTGTTGCATACTTCTATGATCCATTAATATCCACAATGAATTAGCAACCTCAGAACACTAACCATAAACCCAGTGGTTGTCAACATTCAAGTGTGTGTGAGTGGTAGTGTTTAATGATGAAAGAGGGAAGGAGGGACGTATCAAAATCAGGTATGGACATTAAAAAGAGTCTTGTAGCCCTTGTTCCCTTGCTTTCATATGTCTGGTAAGGTGGAAGGAGTCATGAATACCCACTGCATTTATATTGTTAAAAGCCTCATAGATAATTATGATTAATTTCCTTCAACAAGTACAACTGCCTTAAACATCTAATAAAATGCATGTGAACAACTCTTCAGGACTTGAGTTAAAATAATGTGCTTGTATTACAAGCTCTAAGTCTTACTAGTTGTGAAACCTTGACCGTATTTCTTAGTATCTTTATGCCTTGGCTTCTTTTCTGTAAAATAAAAGTGCTTTTTACTTTTGAGTTCTTTCCAGAATTAAATACATGTAAGTTTAGAAATATAGGACAATGATTAGCACACAGTTAGTATACCATTTATACTGTTATTACTTTTAATTTTACAAAATGTTCATTAGGTAGTGAGGAGCGAAAAAGGCTCAGGTTCCTTTCAAAATTGGCCACCTATTAAATGTAAATCTTTAGTTGAAACCACTTTAATGGGTGTGAGATGCAAAATCCTCCCAAGCACCTGGTCCTAGATGTCACATTTGCACCGCAGGCTGAACTCTGCGTCCACCTAATGACAGTCTTTACCTAGTTACCCAAGCCATTGACCTGTAAATCTCCCGCACTCTTCCTTCTCCTGCAATTACAATATTTAATGTTATCAGACTCTCTTGATTCTGGATTCTAAATATCTCCTGAATTTATACCCTTTCCACTTTTTCTGCTACCACGGTGTTAGGTCATCATTTTTCTCGTTTGAATTCCAGTCTTATCTTTTCACCTAGTCTTTTTTCTATGACTGCAAGACCCCTTTGTTTAATCAGTGTTTGTCAGGGGCCATGGAAAGGGGGAAGAGTTGATCACAAAGGGGTAACAGGAGGAAATGCTAGGAAGGTGTAGGGACTGATCAATATCTTAATTGTGGGTTTAGTTACCATGACTACATGCATTCATCAAACAGTATACCAAATACAGCAAATTTTACTGTAGGCAAAATTTAGAAAGCAGAAGAAAAAAACCCCACAAAACTACCTTCCCTTAATTTCCAATGCTTATACAACAAAAAACATCTGAGTGTGGTCTAGTAGGCCTTTCATCATCAGGCTTCTGCTGGTACATCTTGTACCAGTCTCCCTCCCTCTCTCTGCACAGAACTTTCTCTGCACAGTACTTGCACTGGTCTTTGTTCCACACCTTCAATGCAATTCTTTTCATCCGAGAGTATTCATGTCTGTCCAGAATGTTCTTCTCTGCTTCCCTCCACCTTTTACCTAGTTAACTACAACACATCCATTAGACTACATTTCAAGTGTCACATCCTTGAAGACATCATGCAAATAAATCTCAAGCAATATCACATGAAGAATAATTTTGTGCCCAAATGAGGAAAAGCAATAAACAAAAGCAAACTGTGGCAGGTCAATAGGTGTTACAGAAAGAATGGACTATCTAAAATATTTCATATAAGATATATATCAACATGCAACGGGTTAGAACTTTTTTATCCTAAAAAAACGTACTGGCTTTCTCTGGACTTTTATCAGTCCTAATGGCACCTTGTGTTACTCTTCATAGGATTTATCACAGTGCGTAATCATATAATTTGTGTGTGTGTGAGTGTGTGTGTGTGTCTTTAATGGCCCATTTCTACCATGATCTCACAAGCTCTATAAAAGCAGGGACAGTAAATAGATATTGTCCCACCATTATGTTCTTCCAGTTTCTAGTACAGAGCTTAATCAAATACATAATAAATAATGGAATTAATGAATTGTGAGTGATGTTTCCAAAAAATTAGTACAAAGCCGGTATTACTCAATGACTGCCCTTGGCCTTCTTCAGCTTCTCAGTCGGTACCCACCCAGTGCTTGCTACTCTAACAGCCTCCAAACATCTGTTTTGTTTTTCCCTCTGCATGATATTTTTCTTTAACCCTTAATGTAAGCTCAAAATGACCCTCCCCCAATGATAACCACACCCTAATCTCTAGTGTCTGTAAATGTTACTTAATACAGGAAATAAAGAGAGAGAGAGATGAAAAAGGAAGGGAGAGAGGGGGTAGGAGAGAGGGAGGGACGGAGGGAGGAAGGGAGAAAGGAAGGAAGAAAGGGAAGAAGGAACGAAGGGTGGAAGAAAGGAAGGGAGGAAGGGAGGGACATAGGGAGGAAGGGAGGAAGTTTTTGCAGCCTTGAGTAAGTTAAAGGTTTTGAGATGAGACTATTCTGGTTTATCTGGGTGGGCCCTAAGTTCAGCTGCATGCACCCTTACAAAAGGGAGGAAGAGGGAAATTTCACACCTACAGAGAAGGCCATGTAAAGAGAGAGGTAGGGATTGAAGCAATGTGGCTACAAGTCAGGGAACTCCTGCAGCTACATGAGGCCAGAAGAGGCAAGAAAACAGATTTTCCCAGAACGGCCCCAGAGGCTGTGCAGCCCTGCCAACACCTTGATTTTAGCACAGTCATACTGATTTTAAAATTCTAGTTTCCAGAACTGTGAGAGAATAAATTTCTGTTGTTTTAAGCTACCTAGTGGTTGTTATAGCAGCCATCAGAAACCAATAGAACTCCCAGTCCCTTACTTCCCCGAACTTTGTATTTCTGGCTGTTTCAAGACCCAGATAATTGTTACGTCTATTAGTTATACACTCCCCTCCTTTCCTCTTTCCTACTTTTAAGACTGTAATTCCCATCTCTCCTCACAGTATCCCATGTTAGCATCTATCATAGTACCTTGAAATTGTTCCTTTGTCTGTCTTTCCCCCTTCCCCAGTATGAAAGTGCCTTGAGTTTAGCAACTCCATGTTATCTCTGTCTCCAGTGTCCAGCAATTTCTAAGGCACAGGAGGAAATTTCACTGGTGATGAGAGATAGAATTCTAATATAGCTTCTATAAAGAGACTAGGAACAATTGTCTAGAAAATTTCATTCTCTGCAAAACTACTTTTGAGAGAAAAAAAACAGCAATAAAGAATGAATTTATTTGATCTATGAGACACCTCACTATAATGGAAAGAAGATGGTTTCTGAATTTAGGCAGATCTGAGTTCTGATCCTGACTCAATTAGAAATTGCCTGATCATGGAAAAAGTAGTCAGCCTTTCTATATATCGTATTCCCCAGCTTATATAAGTACACTAATTCTTATCTTGCTGTGTTATAGTAAATATTGCTTGAAATAGCTCATAAGAATAATTTTATGAAATGCTTGGTGTCTAATAAGTTGTTCTTAATAAGTCCAGAAACATATTTATGTTCTCTTATTTCCTGTTAGCTTTCTAAATGAATCTTGCTTAAAAGTGATTTATTCAGAGAGACAACTTTGACTAAACTATCTAAATTAGCATTCCTGTGGCTCCCTACTATCCTGGTACTTTCTCATCATTCAGCCCATTTTGTAGCTCTTACCTAATTTGAATTGCAGTATGTGTGTGTGTTCATGTGTGTGCATATTGTCTGCCCTCCCCCCTCAGATATAAGTTCCCATGAGGACAGAGACTTTTCTGCCTGTTTTCATTTGTGCATCATTAGATCCTAGGAGTACCAAATAAATGGGCTTGGATCAATACATCATTTGGAATGGGTAGATGAATTTTTCTTAGTTAGTTGTTCATAGCTCTACTTCATTTTACTGTGGAGAACCAACTTAATAATTTGAAATGTTCTAACTGAAGTCTATCATTGTGTTATTATAGAACTAAGCCCAGAAATGAACAAAGGAAACAAAAAGTTTATTTTATAAAATAAAAAAATGAAACCAATGGGTATTATAAAGGTAATTTAAAAGTTATGACTGTATCCCCATCATACACGATCTTAACTATGAACCTTACAAACAGGCATCTATGAGCATATCTATGCAAAAACCAGATTATAATAATCTTTGATAAATACCAGATGTCAGATGATACTTCAAACACATGATCATCAGTATAATAAAATATACTACTTCATTTTGCCCTTCTAACAAATGGGCTCCCTGTTTTATGAAATCTTCTCATTTTGTCCTCTAGCCAGCTCCACTCTTCCCTAAAATTAAAAATACATATAATACTATTTCTAAAAACTCAGCTAAAATTCTGTTTTATTCCTAAATCATTTAAATTTTTTTAATCCTCCTAGAGATTTTTTTTTAAAAACTATTATCCCCATAACCCCTAAATATGCATGGGACATTTTGTAGGCAGTAGCTGAATCTTTAGGAACCAGGGTATTCTAAGTTAACGGAAATGTAATTTTCCTTGGCTAAATTCTAGAAATTTAAGCTATAATGCATTTATTTTTCCAAACAAATGTTGATAACATTTTACCTTTATTATTGTGATTTGCTCTCAGATGGTTTCTTCTCCTTTATGCACAGAAAATACTAGCTAAATAACCTGCTGATTCTGAAAAGTAGTTTACCTATACTCATTTTAGCTTTCTTAACTATTCCCTTCAAACTAAGGAAAAGGAGAAAAAAAAATGGCTTCGAGTGGCTTTTTAAAAACTTTTAGACTATCTCATGTTTAGGACAATAAGAGTATGTTCAAAAGAGAAAGAAAGAAAATGAGGGAGAGTAGAAGATGTGGCACCCAGAGGGCAAAAGTGGGGAGAGGCACCATCTTGTAGAATAATTGTGTGACTTGAAGCCACACAGAACCATGTTTTAATCACGCCTATGCTGATTATTCATTATGTAACTCTGGGCATTTGGCCCTCTGAGAATCAGACTTCTCCTCTGAAAAACTGAATAATAATCACAGAAAAGTTCTCATCAAATGTTGGATCCCCTCTTCCAGTCCTATATTTGGAGTAGCTTTGACTACTTCAACATCGGGAGCTCGGTTTTCTTCTCCATCAGCCCTCTGCAATAATTCTCAGTGACTTAAAATGTACATCTTAATTTCTTTTCTGGACTCTGTCTCACACCTCCTGGATTTCCTGAAATTCAATGACCTGCTACTTAAGGGCAACCTGAGCTTAGCCCTCATGATCTTTCCTTTAGCTCTTGTCAAAGATCCAGATCTCTGATCCTCAACTCTTTAATTCTGAAGGTACATCTGCCTCTACCTACCTTATACCCTTCCTGTTAGTTCCTTTAAAACAAAAACAAAAACTCGCCCGTAGTCAGAATTCAGCTCTTCCGAGTCTTACAGGAAGGTATACTAGGATTATTTACTTCTCGGCTTAGAATAAATACTTTCACTCACCAAATATTTAATGGGTCCTATCACCCACCAATCATTGATCCAAGCACAAGAAATACAGAGATGAATAAAATTAATCAAGGCCCTGCCCTCAGGAAGCCTTGCTTACATTTCATGGTGAAAGATAAAAATAGAACTATAAATATATTGTTGCATAGTGATTAAAAATGTAAGTTGCATAGGGGAATAGAGAATGTAATGGTGGTGCTGTTTTAGACTGGGTTACCTGCAAAAGCCCCTCCAGGAGGAGACATGATGGGAGGAAACACCATGCAAATGCTCTGGAGGAAGAGCATCCAGGATGAGGAAAGTCCACTTCCATCATTCACACTTACCATTGTGGAGTGCATTGTTTTCTCATTCTCCCCCACATCCTATCTTGTCAATCTTGGGTAATGCTGCAGTTGCCTTTTTCTATAAATGAGCTTCTGAGTTCTGCTTGAGAAAAATCACAAAGCTGGATTCACTGGCTCTAGTTCAAATTATCACAGAGTATGTCTGGAAAATCTGGCAAGCCTGGGACAGAGTAGGTATGCAACACATTTTTGCTGAATGAATGAATTTTATGGAATCCTATGCCTGAACATACTTTTTCCAAAACAACTTTTATAATAAACCTTTTTGTAAACTCAAACTAAGAGCATTCACTGAGGATTTAGATCCATGAGTTTCCATTTTGCCTCTACATTTTTTTAATATTATAGAAGTATCTCTATACACAATAAAGAAGAAGAAGAAAGAGGAAACTTTGAGAGGCAGTTTTCCAAAACCAGAGACTATTATTGAAAATTTTTCAAGTTAAGTTTGAATAAAATCCCCCAAGGTTCTTGTAAAATCTCTGCTGAATAAGTTCACAATTCTGAGAGTCCCATTTTTAGTATAATCTTCTCTTGGCTTACTTGATAATTCAGCACTCTGAAATAGGAGGGTGTGAAGATTAAGCAAAAATGTCCTACTTGAGCAAAGTCCCTAACTGTGGATTTTAAGAATAAAAAGTCTGAAAAAAAAGTTACTCTTTGTTACAAGTGAAGTTTGGGAAAAAATACTTCCCTGTCCCTGTGTTTATGGCAGTGAAGTCTGGGACTGCCGAACAGTTCAGGATCGTCAACCACATGATTAAACCAAATTGCCTCCAAACTAACGCAGCCACTAACACTTCCCTCAGCAAAGTGCTTTCTAATTATTTAGAAAACTGATGTGATCACTGTAAACGAAAGTGATTCCAGAGCAAAAGAAATTCTTAAGAAGTAAGAGCCTTCAGTCTCTCTTCCTCCTTAAGGTCCTCAGTGGCAAAATCTGATGTTAGGAAAAATAATTTAAGAGCCCTTTGTTTTCTCCCTGGTCATTTTTACTGATATTTATCAATGGAATATTCACATTCATAGCACATCATGGGTCAACTTCATATGGAAAAACGAACCTTTCATGAATAGGACATATGCTCAAAACTATTTCCCTAGCCCTGTACTAGAAGGAATCAGAGGCACTACAGTCTATGGCACTGTGACATCTGTTGGGATAAAAATTTTCGTCCAAATGTTTCAGAAAGAAGCTAAGGCAAATGGAGAAGGTATCCTTGATGTCTTCCTCCTCCTTACCCGAGCACCTATCACAGACTTCGAATCATCCCTACAGTGATCCATGGTTAATATTGTGACAAAGGCATGCATTTTCAGGATAAACAATATTCAGAGGTATATCTTTTAGCCCTGGAATGAAGCTCTGTTAATTCATCCACTCATTCATTTACTCCACAAGCATTTTTTGTGTACCTATGCTAGGCACCGTACTAAGCACTGAAGAATTCGAGCCGAAAGCAATTTTATGGATTCTTTTAAGAACCCATAATCTAAAGGGAAGACAGAATTATGAATAATGGAAATACTATGATATTAAATTCTATTTTAGAAATTGTAACATGGTGTTGAGTGAACACAGAGGAAAAACTAACTTCCTTAGAAGCCACTTAATAGTTTTGCTGGGAGCTAACATTTGATTCATACCCAGAAGCTCTGGCCTAGATATGCACATGAGGCAGTGTGCTTACTTGGTCAAAATATTAGTCCATTCCTCTCATGTTGGCCTAAACGCATACAATGAGACTTCTGCTTTGGCTTTCTGGGGAACTGAAAATATAGCTGGAGCCCAGTTGAAATACATGGCTTCCCAGTACTCTCTAACCTCCTTAGATTCACCCTACTCTCCTATCAGTTTATAGCTAGGTTCCTCCTTAGAAATCACAAACCTCTTAAAAGTCAACACATTGAGCTGGGCATGGTGGCTCACGCCTGTAATTCCAGCACTTTGGGAGGCTGAGGTGGGTGGATCGCGAGGTCAGGAGATTGAGACCATCCTGGCCAACATGGTGAAACCCCATCTCTACTAAAAATACAAAAATTAGCTGGGTGTGGCAGCACGTACCTGCAATCCCAGTGAATTGGGAGGCTGAGGCAGCAGAATTGCTTGAACCTGGGAGGCGGAGGTTGCAGTGAGCCGATATCACACCACTGCACTCCAGCCTGGCGACAGAGCGAGACTCTGTCTCAAACAAACAAACAAAAAAAGAAAAAAAAAATCAACATTGTAAAGCTGTTATCAATATGACCACAATGCATGTAGTGTTTCTCCCAAGCCTCACTAACCAGATTAGCCTTTCCTAGATATACATATAGGTGCTGGCTCAAAGGCACACCCACTAGCTGAAACCTGGCTTGAGTTCATTATTCCCTTTTGTATGCTCTATACATTGTATTGTCAAATAGTCAAATATTCACTCTTATCCTCTCTTTGGGAACCATCCCTATATTCCATTTAGGTCCTTAATCTGCTCCCTATGCACTCAGCCCCATCCTTCCTCTCCACCAGCTGCACTTGGAAATCCAACATCTCTGACAGTAGATTTCCACATGATGCAATATACATCTAGAATGTCATAAAAAGTCACCATGTAATTTTCAATAAATGGTATTAATAAAGGGACCCCACACGTAAGATATTGAGGTGGGTCATAGGCTTAAAGAACATAGAGGGTCAGAAATATTATGCTTTGTCCAAGGTTGCGCATGTATTAGGAATGAAAACTGACCCTCCAACTTATATCTTCTACTCAAAATTCAGTTGACTTTCACCCCAGCATAGTTGCCACGCAATGTGGGAGAGGAGAAGTCTGGACCATCTTTCCCAGGATGTGTAGCAGAGTTCAGCTTGTTCAGGTTATAGCCTTAGAGTTAAAAAAATAAAAATTGAACAATGAAAAACTATTTATAATTAAGAGCTAAATTAAAAGCAAAGGTGAAAAGTAAAGATTGGGGCCAGATGATAAAGATAGGCTGGGCTAAAACTTAGAAGTAAAGAACATAGAGTGTGAAGAGGAACACAGTACCAAGGATTGAATGTTTGAGGAGGCACTGAAGGGTCACATAACAGTGCCACCTGAAGGTATGAAATACTAAGTCATGCTTAGTCATCCCTCCAAAAGCAACAGTTTTAAAATCAGATATAGCTGAAATGAAATAATATATTTCTACTTGCTATCCAGAATAAAGGTGGTCAAGAAAGCAAGGCAAGAAATACATACTTATTAGAACTTTCAGCCATAACATGAGATGATAGAACCTATGATTGCTATGAATTATTATTTTAATTTGAATAAGCAAGGAGAATAGCATTTCATGTGTAAAGAATCACAAGGCAAAGACTGTTTTAGAATACTTAAATAAAACAGAATATAAATTTATATATAGGTGCCTGTTTTAATTTGGGTTACTATCCCCTATCTTGGAAATAATTATCTTCAGCATACTTGGTGAATTATGCCTCCATTGTCAATTTAAAACATCTGTTTATTTAAAATGAGGTCGTTTTTGTTTATTAGTCTTTACTGACTATCAAAAAAGAGATAGTGCACTTGAATATTCTCAAGTATGTATAAATTGTACATGTATTACCTAGCAGGGGTCCATCCTCAATCAATATTTTCTCAGAATGATATTTCTCAGGAAGGAAGAAGATTTTAGTTAGGCTAACAAATTATTATCTTTCACAGGAGAACTTCAGGCAGGACTCTCATTAATGAATTGGCTGATAGCAGTTCCTTGTTTACAAGTCATAGCATATACTCACTTATAACAGTAGGAAGCAGGCATGCAAAGAGCAGCTTAAGAAAGGGGGTGTAAAGAGAAGAGAGTGCAGTGTAAAAGATGAAACCAGACAAAGGAGAATAGTTATGTCAAAGTTACAGCTAGAAACAACCTAAGGGGCTCTATGTCATACAATAGGACTCTGCCTGCACCGCATAAAAAGAGAACAATTCAAAGAGAAGGAAATCTTTTTTCTTGTAATCATGAAAGCCATTTACAGCTACTTTGATTCATTTCATGGTCTTAGGGACAATTATTTGGCTTTCATTGCTAAAGGTTCTCTTTAAAACAAAAGACTTAAGAGTAAAGAATTCATTTATTTCCTAGTAGCACTATACATTCATTTGGAGTGTGCTTTCTTCTATTAGGTGTAATTTTAAATTACTTCCAATCCACTGTAATGCCACTTTTGCAATTGATAATGTAAGTTTCATTCATTTTTTGCTACTCTGTCAAATAAATACAGAAAAGTTATTTCTTGGTCATATATAATGATAGTGCTGTTTAGGAAAAATAATTAAATGATACCATAGCTGCTATTTAATTATACTGGCTCTGCTGGGCTTAATAAGATTAAGTTACTTTCCTGTTTCACAATTCATTTTGTATTTCTCTCATTAATTCTATCAATTCATTTCAGGTTCCTTCCTAGGTGTTTCTCAATATTTTGTCTTCTCTGTTCATATCCCATAAAGAAAGCATGTGACCACAGTTGAAATCCAGTTTTCAAGTGTTCTAGATTAGAAAAATAATGAGAAATATGTGCTGAGTTGGGTCATTTGCATTTAACATTGGATTCTAATATCAATATTGATAGATTCTGGAATGATAATACTTATTTACCAAATTAGGACAGAGAAAAAAATAGTCTCTGCATGGACTTGGCCAGTTCTCTCATACATAATCTTTCGCTTGCCAACATTTAAATCATTTTGAGGTACCCACTGAGTTTAATAGGAAGGTCCCCCCCTCCAACCTCCAGGAAGGTCAGGTCACAGAACCACAACTTTAAATGTAAATGTCAAATTTCACTCTCCACACAGCCCTATTCAATTATTTTCATAAGAGGATTTAGAGTTTTTCTCTAAGATTTGAAGTTGAGAGAGGTCTACATATTACCCCAAATCTTCGAGAAATTGCATTATGCATTAGGCAATTGTATTATTCACCACACTGGGCTTGTAATCCAGATCATCCATAAGTATTTTGGAGAAGATACTTTTTTTCTGTATTGCTTTTTTGTAATTTACTTTAATCAAAGAATGGTTCAACATTGTTAAGTTTAGGTTGGGTCACTTTAATTACCGATTTAAGTTTACATTAAAAAACAGACTTCAGTTGAATGTCTGGAATACACTTGGCACCAGCACTGTAGCAGCAAAAACTGTAAAATATACATAATATAATAACATCATGAAGTCACTAAATGTATATGTATATATGACTTATCGGAAGGCTCTATAGATTCAGCTTTTTGTTCCACTAGCCCTACAGAAAATATTCTTTCAGGATAACCTCGTACTAGATATAACTAAATTGTAGTCAAGAAATTCCTTATATTGAAAGAAATTCTGAAAAGTTAAGTTGTGTGTATGTATGCCTGTTGAGGAATGGGAAGGAAGTAGAAAGAAGTTACTTTGTTCTGCCTCATAATACTCATAAACAATTTGTGTTCCTTTCTGGTACCAACATCATTTTACAGCCCTATGATAAAAATATTGGTAATTGAGGATGCTGAATTTATAGCAATTGCTTAGTTGAAGTAGTTCTTTCGTGTTTTGTGGTGTTTCTCTGAGACCAGTCAAAAGAGTATAGTACCCTCAGATACACAGAGGGTTGCCTGAAAATGATTCATCTCCCTAATATCTACTTAAATAAAATTCATTATCAAATTTTGAAAATGATTCTAATGCAAGAGTATTAGTTTCAGCAAGGCTGCTTCAACCCTATTTCAAGCTTCTGTGGACTTAAAACTATAAGAGATTCCTTATCAGAGTTCTTTCTAATTCAGATGAGCTCTCTGGCAGGTTATTGCCAAATATTACTCCAGTTCACTCACTGTACCTCTTCTTTTATCTTCATATAACTTTGAAGTTCCTTTTGGAAATAAAAGTTTATCTTCCCATGAAACTCAGAAAATTTTTTATAGATGTGAAACAAAGAGCTGGAGATTTTAGCCATTTATGTTAGAATCTCTAAACTTTCTATTCATAAAGCTACCCTTAAATTTTTAAAAGGAATAAGGATGTACCTTGAATACAGTAAATGATAAATGGTTATTGAATAAATGAAGGAACAAATGATTCAATAAAAAAATACAAAACTTAAACAGTAGATTGTCAGCATTTTTCTCTTTTGGTCTGCTAAGCTCCTTGTCTGAGGAGGCCATTCATACCATTTATTTCAAATGTACTGACGTTTGATATATGTTACAGAGCAGTGTTTCCCAACTAAGATTTTCCAAAGGTGGTAATAGGTATGTGAAACAGGTATGTAAGATGATAATAAGTATGTGAAAAAAGTTGTCTAGCTAAATAATATTTGGGAAATTGTGCAGAATATATTCCTCCACCCCTCTTTAACATCAAAGAGCATGATAATTTCTATGATAGAGAAGCCTGCTTAATTTCCTTTAACACACCATTTCTCAAAAATATTTTACCATAGAACCCTGTGAATATCTCCTAGTATACAGTCATTCATGCAATATTGTTTTGAAAAGATTGCTACGTGGGATTTCTTCCAATTTTCACCACTGAGTTTCCTAAATACCACATCTTAAGCCAATTATTTGAAGAATGTTTTAAGAAAAGTCTTTTTAAAAAATTCTGACAGCATAAGCACCTTCTTGTATCTGGAACATCAATAGGAACTGTCAAATGATCTCATTAAAACAGCAAAAAATGACATGCATGAGAAGTAGTAAAATATTAAGTGATGAGGTTGGGGATAATAATTATACTCACTAGGCTATAGTCATTCCTTGATTTCTTGACTGATTGATTGACTGACTTAATGCATTTATCCACAATTACCTATGTGGCAGACACTGTGGTGGGTGATTTTTTATATTTAAATTACGAACATTGCCAACACACCAGCCATTGCTTGAGATCATGGGATGGCTAACTATGGCCTACAGAGCAAATGTGGGCAATTATTTATTGTAAATAAAGTTTTATTGGAACACAGCCATAGTGGTTTATTTACATGTTGCTCATGATTGCTTTTGCACCAAAATGGCAGGTGTTGAGTAGTAACAACAGAAACCATCTGATCTGCAAAGCCCAAAATATTTACTATCCAGACTTTCAGAGAAAAAGTTCACCGACACTTGTCTTAGATAATCTGCATGTTAAGTCAACCGATCCTTGCAATAAGACTTTAAAGAATGTACTGCTCTCCTTGTTTCAGACATTAAGAAGTTAAATTTCAGCACATGGTGAGTGATTTGTCTTGTTTTACTTAGGCAGCAGATAATATATCTGGGATTTAAATCCACCTGATTGAGCCAGGCATGGTGGTGAACTCCTGTAGTCTTAGACACTCAGCAGGAGAAGATTTCCAACCTGGGCAACATAGCAAAACTGGCTAAAAAAAATAAAATAAAACAAAATCCACCTGGTCAACAATGAATTCCATTAGCTTTCTTCTATACTTTAGGTATCATAATGGTACTCAGCACATTAATTTTGGGGGAGGGGAGGAATTAACATATTTCTGAAATATCTTTTATTTATCTGAGTAACCAAAGTAAATTCTATTTTATAAATTAGTGTTCTATTTGCATGGATCTCATTAGCATATTTCAAAACAGTGCACTTGTGTTCACTTTTGAGTATCTGCCTCTCCATCACAGGCATTACTGTGGCTAAATAGCTCCTCTGTTTCAATGCCTAATAGTTCTCCCTCCCTGGACTATTCCTCATGCAGACCACATTTTGTGAAACATTGCTCTGTTATACGAAGAGAAAACATTCCTATTTTTGACATATGATTCAGTTTTTTTATTCTCATTAAAAATCTGAAAAACTACTTCTCTTTGATGGCCTTTAATTTAACTTAGCATTTGATTTATTTGTTTGATTAAATATCTTGATCTTTAGAGTACTGTTTTGGTTGATTAATCTAAAAAGGGGTATTTTACTATTTAATCTTTATAGACAAGGTTCATTTTCTTTTGATTTTGTTTTTATTTTTCATATTGAAGGTAGAAAAAGAAAAGCTTTTGTTTCGATCCATTGGGCGTATGTTTTGGTCTCTGGAGAACACAACAGATTTAGCCATTTCTAAAATGAAACAAAGAGGAAAGTCAGTACCAAGAGGTTCAGAGAAACTTCTCAATTCTAATCAAATCACTTTAACAAAATCTACGAAACATCTAAGAGCTGTGGTGCTGTGTATGGAACACAAGACAGTGCCTGTCTAAAGGAAGCAATACTTTCTCATGGGGCAGACCTGATATACACACTGGAGAAGAAAATAGAGGTGGTAGAAGATGCTTCTTCATAAACGTTATGGGATATCACCTATTTATCCTTCAGTCTGAAGTTTTCTCATTGTTTTTTATTTAAATGCAGTAGTAACAGCAAAGAGAAACTAACACAAAGATCAATCACCACATTGGTGCCAAACAGAAATGTCCCTGACTCTGACCTCAATACAATCTAATGGCCTGCCCACTTCGGTCAGTAGTTTCTGTTTATTCCTTTTAAGTCAATATTTATTTAACTAGCTATATTATGTCACAATTATTAATAATTAGTAGACCTTGATTAGTTTAGAACAAACTATTTGAAGAAATAGAAAAATATGAACTTACACCTTGAGGAAACACTCAGTATCAATCATTCACTCATTCAACACATAATTATTCCATGCCTATTACGTGTCAGGCACTGTGCTTGACTCCGTGGAACACATCAATATGACCCTATCTCTACTTGCTGGAAAATGTGCCGCCTACTGAGAGAGATAAAAGTATTACAAAGACGTAACAAGGTGAAAAATAAACTGTTAACGGCTGACATATAATAGCTCCTTTTGGGAAGAGAACTATTTTTAAAAACGTGCCTTGATAGGCCACTTTGTATAGAGCATGAGCCCTAAATCATAGGTGTTTTAGAGACCTGAGTAACTAAGCTTAATGTTAAATTGCATTTAGAAGTGAAAGAACCAAAGAAGTGGCTCATTCAGAAGACAGTAGAAATGTGGTTGCTACATATAGAGGAAATTCATCAGGAACTTTTAGCTGTGGGACAGCCAAAACAATAAGCATAGGAATGCCTAATATAGAATCTTAAGTTGAGTCTGTGTCTTGGGGAAATTAGAACCCTCCTTATGACCTGCCACATCTTCAGTGGGTTCTTGTTGTTACTGTTCAGTTCACCTTTTGTTATTGTTTTGATTGATTGATCAATTGGTTGATTTCTGTGGAAAATGAGACAGGGCCAAGTTTCTCATTTATATTAAATGTTGTTTAGAAAAAAGACAGCTTTCATGACTCCAGAGGCAGAAATGACCAAAAAATGTAAGCTTCCTGGAAATACATAAAAATGTGGGGGAATTTGGGAAGGACTTTAGTTTTGTACAGGGCTATAGGACATGGAAAGTTCAAGTAAAAAGAGCTTATTTAGTTGTGTTCTGAGTAATGCGAAACCGAAAATGCAACTTGGAAAGTAGTGTCCCCCCATATATATACACACACACATACACACACATATACATGTCACATACAAACTTATAAATATTAACAATTTGCTAGATAACATTATGTACATTATGAAAAAACAATAGATTCTGTTCTCCTGGAGTAGAATTCTGGAAGGTTTACCAAAAGAGTAGACAGAGATATAAAGGTCATTTCATGAAGGACAATGAAAACCATTATGGAAATAAAGTATGCACATGAAAGAGTAACTCAGTCCTGTTGGACCAAGAGATGCTTAAATGTAAGTCAGAAAATAAGACTAGAAAGAAATGGTTGTGACTTAATAAAGAAGCAGCCTGGATTCTAGCCTATGGAGTTTGGACTTTAGACAGTGAGAAGAAAGTGCAGAGTTTCTAACAGGAAGTGATATGATAAAAAAAGTTGATAAAAAACTATCTAATGGTAATAGTTTATGACAGTTAGAGGATGGAGGAGGAAAAAAACAGTAGACGGATGAGAAAGAATGGTGATCAATATGACAGCAGTTGTATTTGGAATGAAGATCATAATGGGTACAAGAGACACAATGGAGAAAACAGTGGACTCTGTTAATTTGGGCGGATATACATCTGAATACTCTGCTTTAATTTTGATAATACCTATTGTATGAATCTTGTTATGAACTAAGATTTCACCTCACATTATGGAATTTCATCCTTGTTTTTTGTCCCTGGTTCTGATAAAGACTTGTGACCTAGATTCAACTAATATAATATTTTATCTGAGGACTTCCAATAGTTGACCCTATAACCCAAAAACAGATAATGAGAAAATAACTGTAATAGCGACAACAGCATCTAGCACCAGTGTTTTAACAATATTTCCTGAAAGAATTGAATGCACTTAATGTTTTCACATTCTCATTGCTCGTCTCCTCAATTCTCTTCAAACGCATTCTCATCATTAGCCCTTGACTGAAAGAGTGCTTGCCAAAGACAACATCCATTTGATAAGTTTGAGTCACTTTCTTCCTAAGTTTCCACATTTCCTCCTATACCACGGGAGTCTCAATTATTTAACAAGTTCCCCTTATAACAAATCTCTAAATGTTAGAGTACTCCAAGATTAAGTCTTCAGCCCTCTTCTCTTCTAAATTTGGGCCCACATCTTGAATGAACTAATTCCATTTTATGGCTTTAAATACCACATAATATACTTAAAAACTCAAAATTATATTTTTAGTCCTTTCCTTTCCTCTGACATTCCTATGTTTCTGCTTAATAGTCATTTCAAATTTAGTATATCCAAAATAGAATTATTGATTCTCAGTCTCCCTGATTCTCCTTCAAGTTTAGTATCTATCTGGACCAACAGTAG
This sequence comes from Homo sapiens, assembly GCF_000001405.40. Lineage (NCBI taxonomy): Eukaryota > Metazoa > Chordata > Mammalia > Primates > Hominidae > Homo > Homo sapiens. Next base: position 117,840,756 of record NC_000003.12, read on the forward strand.
ACTAGATAGAGCTTGCTAGATAGACTAGATATATATTAGTCTATCTATAACACACATTATCCCATCTATGCATATTTAATCACCCTGTACTTGCTAGATAGGTACTAGTCTGTCTAGCAAGTTCTAAGAAGCAGGAACATGTTTTAGCTTCCCCTCCACTGTTACCTGCTGCCTAGAATGCTTACTAGCATGGAGAAGGTACAAAATAAACATTTGATAGATACATGAATATTTACATGAGGATATCTAACAGGCAATAAGAAATACCCCCTACATTTCATTAGTGAAGATATTGAGGATGATCAAAATGAAGTGTATTTTCCTAGGTCACAGTTCCATCAGTAGCAGACTTGACTGACCTACTGATCAACCACATCAAGCAGTTTCATCGCCACTTGTCCCCATACTTCAAGTCTTCAAAAGTGCTTTGAGAGTTACTGGGTCTGTTACAAATTTCACCTGCTTCTGTACTGAATATCATATTCCTCACCTGCTTCTGAGTTTGTCCAACATGCAGGAGGGAAACACATTTGAGATTCAGGAAGAACAAAAGTCTTCCCAACAGTGGTGGATGTCTATGGTGGTGTTTCTGACTGACTAGTAGCCAAATTCTCATTCTTTTTCAGGTTATGCCTCGATGCACACATTTTGGTCAAGACAGGACCCTTTCTCTTACTACAAAAGCCAGTGTGTGTAAGCATTCCCTCCTCTTTCTTCCTGGTAGCCAGATTATTCCATCAACCAGAGACCCCTGATCAGGACCTTGAATCTGACAGTAGGAACACAGAGACATGGGGCTCTCAAAGAGTAAGAATTCATGGTGCTGGTGGTGAAGCTGATATAGTGAAGGAGCTGCTATACATACTGTCCCATGGTCAGTTATCAGTGGTAGCATTCTAAGATGACATCTCCTGGCAGGACCTTAGGTGTTAACACAGCTTCCATTCCTTATGAGCTGGGGCTACTTGTCTGCTGATTCTACTTAAATTAGCCAGAGTTGTTTTATTTTGTTTGCGACTTAAAACACTGACCGGTTCATCAATGGCTTTTACACCATTTTTTTAGTAACTGAATAGCACTAATGTCAGACCACTTCCAACATTTAAAGCTATCTTGTTTATGTCATATTACCTCAGAAACAAGTCTGATGATTGGTTTCTTAATCCAATAACAAGGTTCAAATTGAAGGACTAACAGCTCAAAAATAAGTCATCTATGGATCTCATCTTGTTTTTGGATTAAAACTGCATTCTATGTACTAAGGCATATATGGGTAAAAATTTCAGACACCACTTGAAGAAGAGTTATTTTGTAACAGAAGAACTTGTGCCACCAGCCTTTCTTTAAAACACTGTATGCCACTATTTCTTTAGTAAAAACTTATTTAGTGGTTTAAGTTTCAGCTTGTTCAAATGCTTTCTGAGCACCACTCTCTTGCTTACACTCTATCACCAACAGTGTCTCTCACCATCTCCCACATAAATCTTCTCTCTCACAATAAGAGAGGAGGAGTGGGTAATATGATCTAACAGAATTTGGGACATTGGCCAACTTCATTCAAAGCGTGGCAGGTGGTATGATGGGGCCTTATGAGGGAGAAAGTCCTGGCTTAAATTTTGTCCTAAGTCAGGTATGCAGGCAGCTTTATCAGAAAGCTCTGCATTAGTTAGGTATTAGGATCCATAGGCAATTCTGTCTTGCCAACTTCATGAGAAAGAAACAATTGAGACAAGGCAGTACTTGTAAATTTCTCAGCCTATTCCCATAGGCTTCCTTAACAATTCATCCTGATTCCTATAATATCTTATACTAGTAATGCTTAGAGTTTCTCTTAAGAAAAAAAAAGAGTATATAGACACAAAACACATATTTGTGTTCATAAACACACATGGTTTTACATAGAATGTTATGAAATTCACACATTAACCCCTAGGTACATCTATTACAAGGCACCATCATCCTGCTTATACAGTCATTTATTACAACACTTGGAGCACTGTGCTGTCCTTGGTAGCTTTCATGATTCCTACTATTAGTCTTTGAGCTCCATAAGGATAGGAGTCCCTTATTATCTTATTTATCTTTTTATTCATATCACCTTGAATAGTCTCTGGCATACATTGGACACAAGAAAGGTATATTCAAGGAAAGAGTGATTCAATCTTTCAAATTGTTACCAACAGATGAGACTAGCCAGGTGCCTCATTATCCCACCTTTGCATATTTAATCACCCTATACTTCAAGGATCTTACCTGTGAAGAGGATGTACAAACTCCTCTTATTTACTAGAGAATTATGAGCACTGACTCTAGTAAGAACTACTAAAAGGCACTTTGCAAATGTCAAGAGGAACAACTGTGTTGATGAAATATAATGATTTATATAATTTGGGTAAATACTATTCATTTGTCTCCCTGGGCGTTTCAAGGAAGAGAAAATTAGGCATGGAGGCATTTCAGAATAATCCCATTCCTCCAACGAAGCAAGAAGAACATTGTCAGTGAGAATAAGCACCATAACCAATCTCTTTTTTATGAGCATTTCCTTCTGCTTGTTCTCCAGATATTGGGAAATCCACTTAATCTGCTATGTAAAGGCTGAGACAAATGAGGCAGACAGGAGTAATGCCCTCAGTTCACTGGGACATGAGAATAACTCTGAACAAAGAAAGTTACCCTCTGACTCCTTTACTAAGCTTATGAAGATAATGTATTTAATAAAATCAGATCTCATATTTCACACCTGTTTGAGATACCTTCAAAGCCAGAGAGTGCTTCCTCATTGTACAAGATTTCACAGTTGGTCCAGTGCAGTACACCATGAAGAATGAGGCTAATGCCAGCCCTTGAGGTGAGACAATGAATTCCCAGAGTGACTAGGCTGAAGAAACATGAGACTAGAATCTTTTGATCCAAGAACAAAACAAGTGAACAAGTGACTTCTTTGCCTCCCTTCTTTCTAGTCAAATGAGACTTTCCTGGCATTTCTGCAGCATCCATAGGTTGCCAATTTTCTAATCTCAGTAAGGTGCAACCAGGAATTGGGAAGGGCTCCCAGAATGCACCTGCCCTGTGTGCCTATACAACACACCTGGGAGCACTAATTTTAGGTTCTCATCAGCTGTGACAGCAAAGCTGTAGCATCAGTTAATTCATAATCAGCAAAGGGTAAGTGTGCTTACATATTTTATGTTAGGAAGTCAAGAGGATTCTTGTATAGCTTTTCACTTAACTGTCATCATCAGCCGGGGGATGCTTTCAGGGGGAAGTAGTGTTAGCTATACAATTGTTCCAGGAGGAGACTGAATAACTTCACAGGTCCCAGAAGAAATAAAGTACCATCCTGGTGTATATCTAGGGACTTCTGTTACAGACATGGAAAAGTTCCATGATATTTCCTTTTGTAAAATAATAAAATCCAGATATATCTGAAAGAATAAGTGTAAATATATTTAAATTATGTAACATAAAGAACAAAAGGAAATGTATTGGACACCTTCTTGTTCTCACCTTTATAAACTTAGGCAAATTAATTGGTCCCTCTAAGCTTTAATGTCTCATCTTTTAAAACAAAGATGGAAAATACTTTACAGGGTTATTTAGCCTAACACATAGCAGGCATACAAAAACATGTTCACTTCTCTACCAACAAGTCTAATAAGGTGTTCATTTAATCTAAAACCCACTGCCTTCAGTTCACAACTCATGACTTGAATTCAATAGTGTGTTTGACTTTTATAAATTCACACACAATTCACATAATTTACATTTCAACAACTGGATCTGAGATGCAGTGAAGGTATTCAATACTGAACACTGCAATCAAGGCATGGCACCTTACTTAAGCTAACACATGATTACCCTTCACTGCAGACCTATAATTCATCAATGTGTTCCTTACAGAAGCAGAAAGGCTTAAACTAAAGAAATTGAGGGCATCAGGACTCAGAAAATGCTCCTTAGATTCTTCCCTAGATGCTCTCAGAAACACATTGCCTGACTATCTTTTCTAACTCAATAATAATAAATGGATTTGGGGATTCATGGAACCACTTCATGCCTACCCAGATTTGCTGTCTGTTTAAGGCACCACATGAGTGAGTTTTTCCTACCAGTCAGATGAGTCACTGCTTCATCAGAGTTTTTGAATATGTCAGAACTTATGCTCTAAAGTTGGACAACGAGAAACATAACATGTGGGCACCAATACATTCTTCACTCTCTCTACTAAAATGGTAACCAAAAAAATGACCTTCAGTGGCATAAAGAGCGAGGCTAATAAGATAATTAGTTAAGAAACTCTTTAGATAGTCCAGGGAAATTAAAGAAGAGCCACATTTCTAGAGTAATTTATGGTAGTTCAGATGAGAAATCTTGTTGATCCTTTCCAAGTTACAATTATTGTGTCTTCATCTTTAAGCTTTTACTTAGAGCCAGACAGTCAGAAGCTGGGAAGTGATGAATTTTAATTCACACTTTAGACAAGGAGAAATGATATACGGAGAAAAAGTTACCATGAAAGCAATATTGAGTAAGGTACCAGGCTACAGTTTCTTCCTCTGGGTTTTCAGTTTTTTTTTGTTTGTTTGTTTTCTTGATATCTTGCCTGTGTATGTATGTGTATGTGTGTGCTTAACTGTTTTGTACTTACTTCCCAGTAAAAAAAATGTAGTTGACCCTGTTCATCAGTGAACTCACTCATAATTCTCAAGTTCCTTCCATGCCACTTCCTCTACAAAGGCTGGGAAAGCTAAACAATTATTTTGTATCACCTACTGCAGGTAGCAGTGATCATGAGATACAGAATCCACCAACGATACGGTCAGTGAGATGCAAAGCAAAGTTTGCTGAGGGCCTCCGGGAAGGCTTTTAGGTTTTCCTAGATTAACGGGTAGCATAACCCCTTTTCCTTCTCCCTATGCCTTGCTGCCTTTAATATGAACATCATGCCTGAAGCTAAGGCAGCTATCTTGCAACTGTGCAGCAGCAATCACTAACAAAAAGAATTGTAGAAATACTTATTGACTTTGACATAATTAAGCAGCTGACCAATGACAGAAGATGTCAACCACTAATCTTATTAAGCAAGAAAAATATCTATTTAAGATTTTAAACATATTTTATACTAATTATTGCAAATACATTATTATTCATACATGGTAGTTTTGAGTGACTTTTCTATTATTTTCTGTGTATACTCTAATACATTTTAACTAAAATAGATAGCTCTTGTAACCTGGGCTAGTCAGAGCTACACAAGATTATTTACTATGTTTTGCTGGGCCATATTATGAAAGCTATAATAATTTTTAATGAGGAAAGAGTTCCACAGATCATACCATTAGTAACTAGGGATGATCTGTTAAATCTAGCTATCAGTTGACGAATATGGGAGGAAATAAGAATGAAATTCCAAGACAATCAGAAAACAGCATAAGAAAAAGAGAGAGAGACCAACAGAAAAAAAAAAAAAAAACTAGGATTAAAAAGCCAAAATAAAAAGCTAATGAGAAACATGAATGGAAAGATGGATCCTGAAATTAAACTTCTAAACTGCAACCTGGACATATTATTAAAAAGGCTGGTTGAGGCAAATGCCATGGATTCCATTTCCATGCTACTTCTTTCCTTTCACTTTTGATTTCTGACAAGCAGCTTCAATCTTGTGTCCCCACTCTTTACTTCCCCTCAAGTTTCCTCTTTCTGCCTTGTCTTTCTCACAACTCCAGATTGCTTGGATTGACTGATAATTTCTCACCATGCCTACAGGAAGCAGAAATGGTATAGTAAAGATGACAAGAAAAATGTCAACTGCAACATTAAAATGAAGGCTATGTCTTCTCCACCGAGGGGATAAAATAAGGAGCATAGGATTGAGCACAGTTCAAATTCTGCTATTGAAGAGGGAACATGTAGAACTCGTCACTTGGCATAAGCTGTGAGGAAACAGGGTCTTAATTATAGGTTGTGAGGAGTAGATAGCTATTACATTCTTAACCTTGGAAGAAAAGTAGAACAGAACAGAGGACTAATTACCCAAATAAAACAAACATATACTCAAATCTATGGCATTGTGCATCGCTCAACTAAAATTGCTAAAAGGAATGGTAGAATACTCAACCTCTGTATCAAAATTAATTATAATGATTGTGTTTAAGTACTCAATATAAAAATGTTTGCAGCTTGTCTAATTCACAGACTCTCCTTCATTTAAAATCTGGTGATAAAAATGATACAGAGTAAATGATAAAAACTAAAAGCCCTGGATAATTTTTTAATAAAGTTTTATTTTAAGGGAAAAAGACATAGAAAAAGATGTTATTATATGTTTGAGAGTATTATAGGCAAACAGAAAATAAAAAGTATACAGAAAAAAGAAAAAAGCAATTAGATAACAAAAGACAGAGATTTTTTTTGTGTATTTTAAGAGTGTTATGTATTATCTTTCTAGTCTCATCCCCCTCTGTTTTTATTTAAAGCTCAAAAACAATTGAGGGAAACATAAAGTGAATTCCTATAACTCATATGGACTTATTCCACAAGTTAACCTTGACATCATAAGAACAATATTTAGAAACCTAATATATCACTTTTTCAGTGGCAGAACAGGAAAACAAGGCACAGCTTACTAAGTCCCTGTTCTTTGATGTGTGAAGCACAAGTTGTACAGTCTGAAACTGTCAGATCATCATATGCTGTCTCCACATCCCATAGGGACTAGGAAAGTAGCATGAAAAAAAAAACCTTAGTAGAAATTGTGAAGAAGAGGAAACGAGAAGAATTAATTTACAGAAGTTTTATATCACATATTGTACAGAAAGGAGAAATATTCAGTAAGCTTTTAAAGAAAATATATTAATCTTAACACAAGATTAAGAGAGAGAGAATAATAAAAGTATGTCTCTGCTATAGTTAATAGGTAGGATGGAACATAGAAATGAACAAGGTTTAAAAGCCAGGTTAACAGGGCTATAGTTCTGGCTAGGCTAATACTTGTTACCTAGGCTAGAGATTATTAACATGAGTTTCTATACAAACAATGTTTATTTTTTTCTATATACATTTTCTAGGTGAGAGGGGCTATAGTTAGAATCAAATTCCTAAAAGAGTCTATGATCCAGAAAACATTAATAACTATTCTCTAATGCAAATCCATTACTCCATCTGTGTCTTACTTTCCTCGTCTTTATAATGGGAACACCAACATCTATCCACCTGTAATTGTTGTGAGGATTTAGAAAGCATACTAAGGAGAAAAACCTTTGGAAAGTTGATATGTTATTTAAATATAAGTTAGTCTTATTCTTTTCATATGTTTTTTAGAAAATAACTTTTAATATGAACATGGAGTTTTATATGAATTCATCGAACAACAGTTCAAAATTTGGCTCCTTCTTCACCCTGTATGAGATAAACATAAGATTCTTTAGGTAACATATCAGTGAAGAAAGAAATATCTTCTTATGGTAATATATTTCAGTACTTTAAGTTGTCATTATTAAAGGTTAACAACATTATTGTCAATGCAATGGAAATAGAATGATAAAAACAAATCTCTTATTTGGGATAATATAGATCAGTATTCATTGTTTGCACAGAATGTGACAAATATAAGCCAAGAAATAAGATCTTTTTATGATGATATCATGCAAAACAATGCAGTTAATTAGTCTGAACAAAAGTTATGGTCAAAGGTGATTCTCACAGTCCTTCAGGCATCACTGTGCATATTGGCGCATTCAAAATCTGATGAGCAAGGCTGCGCTTTTAGCTGGTATGATTTACTGACAACTGATACGGGAAACATTTAATAAAACCCTTCATTAATAGATTTTGCTTTCTTCTCTCTCTTAGACAAACTCCTAGAAATTTGCTGTAAATATCTCATTAATATAAATAGGGCAAAGAAGGATAATTAGTTTTTATCATCAATCAAGTTTTCAACTTCTATACCCCAGTCAATGTTTTCAACAGTCTCAGTATTTAAAGTAAAGTAAAAGGAACTCAGTATTGTGAAACCTCACAAGAATCAGTTGTAAATTAACTTACTTGGAACCAACCAACTCTGAAAACATGCCTTGGGCATCAGTAAATTTTGTGCAAATCCTATGGTAATTGGGAAGATACTATTTCTTCAGAATTTCTAATTATGGTCACATGAAAATATAACCATAAAAAAGAAAGCATCTTGGAAGTAGGTAAGCTTTATATCTAATAGGAAAATGGTATATAGAGTGGCTGATTCACTGTCTTATCACAAATATGTTCTTTATAAATTTCATGCTTCCAGTTACTGGCCTATTAAAGTTATACATCTGTAGAGCGAGTTTGGACTCCAAAGGCAAGGCACAAGACAGATGTGGGTACAGGGAAAGAGTGTACAGCAAAAATCTCACAGAAGTATCATGCCTTAGCTGTATACAAGAAGTCTAGGTTAGCATAGAAGACTAAAATATGTGTTGCCAGGATCTATTTCACAGTATACTAAAGGCAAATGAGAGTTTTTAATTAAAGGGTAGGATATTGAAACTCAACACAGAGCACTAAGAAAGATAATAAGCCATTCTCACTGGATGCAGGAAAGGTTAGCTAGTTACCAAACACATTTTGGGAGAAAGAAATTCTAAAATTAACTAGGGATGAAGTGGCTGCCCCTTTCCCCTTGGATTCATATATACTGTAATGTGGTTGGGAAATTTCCCTTAAAGCAAGTTGGAAAATTTGGAAATTATATCACCACTTGAAAATCAGAGGAAATTTTCCCAAGCAGCTGAGAAGCCTTCATTTCTAAGGATGTGTCTTGCAACATCACTCTTAACAGCTGCCCGAAGGAGATGGGCAATGGCTGGGTGCCTGGGCATTAGCTTTGCAAGTTGGCTCCACAGGTACAGAAAGCACTGAGCCAGATCTGTCAGAGGCTGATTCAAGACTCCACTATCTAAGGTAAAATACACATGAGGTTGAAGCACATATAGACTGTTTGAAGGGAAATGGTGTGTGTAATTGGGTGTCCATCTATGTCACTGGCTTTGTTCAACAATTTTGCTGATTTTCTGTCGTTTTTACTTAACATAATTAAACTTAGATTCTACCATAGACTTAAAGATGATAAATTCTTCATTGATAGTATAAGAAATTATCTAACATATGTTCTATCAAGTTCTGATGACAATCTAGCTCACAACATGGGTCTATGGCTCCAAAGAGACATGCATTTAGGAAAGAAAGAACTCAGAACATTTCCCATTTACACATTGGAACAAGAATGTGAATCAGGATTTCAAGGATGAGGTTAAATAGTAAAAAGAGATATGAAGGAAATGGAAGTTCTAAGTTTAATATGCATGATTTCATCCTATCAAAACCCTAAGAAAATTTACAGTTGAGAAATATGAGGCTCAAAAAAATTAAAACATAATTCTCTCACATTCCAAAAGTCATAGACTGGTTTAGCTGATATTTAGACTCCATGTTCGGAGCCACAAACATATCACCTACCAATATTCAATAATCTTTCAAGTTACATGCCCTCAGGGAAACTGTAATATTATTTCTTGCCCCCACAAAAAAATCCATAGAAATAGCTACTGTTAAATTGAAGAACAAACGAGCCCTATTCTAGTTTTGTTAGGAATAAGTTCAATGGGGAACCAGCACTTGGTTGGGCTTCCAACAAAAATAACAACCTCACATTTTAGAGACAACTAAAATCGGAAGAAAACCTTTTTTGTTTGTTTGTTTGTTTTGTTTTGTTTTGTTTTTTAGTTTTTGCCAGGGCCTGGAACAAGATTAAGAAAAATAGATGGAAGCCTATCCCTGTTTTGCATTATCCTACCTAAAGGAAAAAAAAGAAAGAAAGGAAGAAAGGAAGAAAGAAAGAAAGAAAGAAAAGAAAAAGAGAAAGAAAGAAAGAAAAAAAACTTAGTTCATTACTCCTTCACTTCCTAGTTGCTGGCTCAGAGATTTAAGCTCTTTCACAAATAGAAAATTGGGCAACCATTCTTCCATGTATGGCACAGATTCTTTCCTTTTTTTTTAAAGCGGCCAGAGAGCATTGACTGATTAAAATGATGTTTTTAACTAGATTTGCCAATTTTTTTCTAATTTCAAAAATAGAATATTTAAAAACTTAGAAAAGTAAAAATTTGGTAATTTTATTTTTTTACTTTGTTTAGTTTCTTTTTTGAAAGCCAGAAAATAGGCATAAACAATAAAAATGAAATCACAGAAAAGAGTTAACTGATAAATATGTTTTTAAAAGTTTAACCCTATTAAGTATCAAATAAGTAAAAGTCATAATGAAATAAGATTTAAAAATTGACAGAGTAAAAAGCATTAGGGTGAGTTTAGATAAACTGTCATAATTTCTTCATGTGAATATAAATTAAAATAAATTTTTCTGGAAAGAAGTTTGTTTGTCAATAATATTTATATTAAGATCCATGAGAATGTTGCGTTAGAAACAGTATTTACACACTAAGATTCTATGTTAAGGATAGAATCAAAGACACAAAAAAATGTATTATGAGTATATTTATTACAAGATGACTGATATAGGGAACATTAGGAGTAAAACTCTCAAAGGACAGAGTACCACTTTCATAAATTAAGTACAACAGAATATTATTAAATCACTAAATTTTTTTTTTTTTTTTTGAGATGGAGTCTTGCTCTGTTGCCCAGGCTGGAGTGCAGTGGCACAATCTCGGCTCACTGCAAGCTCTGCCTCCTGGGTCCACTCCATTCTCCTGCCTCAGCCTCCCGAGTAGCTGGGACTACAGGCGCCCGCCACCACGCCCAGCTAATTTTTTCTATTTTTAGTAGAGACGGGGTTTCACCGTGTTAGCCAAGATGGTCTCGATCACCTCACCTGGTGATCCGACTGCCTCGACCTCCCAGAGTGCTGGGATTACAGGCGTGAGCCACCGTGCCCAATCAAAATTTTAAAAAATAATTAGTGATGGGGGGAAACTGACTACCATATCAATAAAAAGGCACAAAAACTTATATAATATGACCCATATTTTCTAAGAACATGTGTGCATAATTGAAGAAAATATACAGAAAGGTTAAAAAGAGGTTTGCAGTGGTTATCTGGTTTTTGAGATTATAAAGATCATTTTCAGTAGTTCTTTATACTTTCCTATGTTTTCTAAGTATTAACATGTTTTTAAAAGACTTGATTCAGATATGCACATTAGAAATGAAAGGAAATTCCAGGACAACAGAAGCACTTAAGTGAAGGTGAATAGGTGGGGATGTGCCTGATATAACTGATGAGAATGCAGCCAGCATATGTGTTGGGGAAGGAGCCGGAAATGGGGTTGGAAAGCTAAAGTGTGAACATCTATCAGAAAACCTTGAAAATCAGGATGAGCCAATGATATTCTTAAATCAAGTAATGATTTGATAAATGTAAAGTTCTCTTTAGATTAATATAAGTCAGTGTAGCAGATGGCCTGGGTGGAGCAAAGGAATGGAAGTATATAAAAGACTTATTAATTCAAGTATACTGAATGCTTCTGGGAATTACATGACAATCAGAAATAATTCTGAGTTCTTCCTCTTGACAAAAGACATCATCAGAGTATCTGCACAAATTCCCAAAGTAGGGCTCTGGAGAGATTTAATCAAAAAACCAGTCAAGGCTGGGTGCAGTGGCTCACGCCTGTAAACCCAGCACTTTGGAAGGCCAAGGAAGGTGAATCACGAGGTCAGGAGATCAAGACCAGCCTGGCCAACACTGTGAAACCCCAGCTCTACTAAAAATACAAAAATTAGCTGGGTGTGGTGGCGTGTGCCTGTAATCCCAGCTACTCGGGAGGCTGAGGCACGAGAATTGCTTGAATCCAGGAGGCAGAAGTTGCAGTAAGCCATGATAGTGCCATTGCACTGCAGCCTGGCAACAGAGCGAGACTCCATCAAAACAAACAAACAAACAAAAACAACAGTCAAGATGGTAAAACCATGGAAAGGTGTCATCTGCAAGAGCAATTTAGAAGGCTCTTCCTCTAATTTACATTCTTTTGGTATAATATCAGAGGACTGGTGTTCTTCTCTGCTCTATAATGTTGCTCTGGTCATCTCTGATCTTTCCTGTTTGTCTCTGTAACAGTCCATTTTCAAACTGCTATGAAGAAATACTCAAGACTGGGTAATTTATAAAGAAAAAGAGGTTTAATGGACTCACAGTCTCACATGGCTGGGGAGGCCTCACAATCATGACAGAAGGCCAAGGAGGAGCAAAGGAACATCTTACAGGGCAGTAGGCAAGACAGTATGTGTAGGAGAACTGTCCTTTATAAAACCATCAGATCTCCTGAGATTTATTCACTATCACAAAAATAGCATGAGAAAGACTTGCCCCCATTATTCAATTACCTCCCACGGGGTCCTTCCCATGACACATGGGGATTATGGGAGCTACAATTTAAGATGAGATTCGGGTGGGGATACAACCAAACCATATCAGTCTCCCTGTGTTACTGACATCCTCTTTTCTCCTTTGGATGTGCTTCTAGCTTTCTTTTTTCTTCTTCTTCTTTTTTTTTAATCTCTGCCTAATTAGACTTAGAATGTCTACAAGGCATCATCTAAATTTGAGACACACCTGATTGAAGTCTGGTTCACTCTCACTAATTATATGACTTTAAGCACATTGTGTAGCCTTAATTTCTTTATTGGTAAAATGGGAATAATTCTACCCATTTTGACAGGTGGCCATAAGGATTAAACTAAATCAGATTATAAGATGTGTCTAATACTATCAAAGGCACACAAATTTGTATCTTCGTTCCTCATATTATCTTCTGACATCAGAAGTATGAGAGTTTCTGACAAAGGCAAGAGGAAAAGTAGGCAGGGTTCATGCAGTTGGGGACCAAAGTTGTCACTGTGGTTATCAATGCTGGTTTTCTGTTTGTCTTATTTTTAATAATTATTATGGCATCTTATAATCCAAGGGGATATAACTCAAATATTCAATGGTAAAAAATAGCTTTATTATTAGAAAACCAATTATTCAATTACCTCCCACTTAACTCCCAGAGTTAGAAGTGGGCTTCTAACTCTGCCCACTGGCTAAAGTAAGTTATTTTTAAAGAATAAGTTTGAATTTGTTAAATTTAAATGTGCATATTATTCCATCAGTTCCTAGAAATAAGGCTTAATGACCTACCCAGTGAGTCAGTGTCCTTGCTTGCATTTGTTTGCTTTATCTTCAGTAAGAATGAGTAAACATTAATCCATCCACTTCTAGCTTGCTCCCTATTGTGATGACTAACTGTCCCTGTTGCTTGCTATATCAGACTAACAAATCTGTGGCCTCAGAACAGAGTGAATCAAATGATATGTAAATAAATAAAACGCAGCCTCTTGGCCTCAATGACATCATGTGTTAATTGAGTTCAAATGGCCACAGCAAGACCAAATGAGGGGAAATGTTCTACCTGCTTCACTGCCATCGAGAGTTGAAACACGATGAAGCCTGGAAGACCACTGGAGGACAGCATAGTGTATTCTACCATATTCATTTTTCATGAGTTTTCTTCTTGCCTGGCTTTGTAAAACATTCATCCCAATAAATGATTTACCATGGCAGGAAAGATGCAGGAAATTGATCTGAGCTCACCTTCGAACATTATGAAGACCGTGAAGTCTAATCAGGTTCCAGGGAGGACTCCAAGGTGGCAGACATTTATGAACAGAAATGGGAAAAACACACTAGGAAAGCACTGCAAAGACTAATCTGTCTTTCATTTCATCTAACAATGTTCATTCTGAGTGTTCCTTCTTTGAAGGAAGGCCATCTGCTGTAAATTTATTTTTCATTAATGACAGTAACCTTTTAAACTCCATTAGCAGCTTCTTTCTCAGCCTAAATGTAGGGATGCCTGTGGGATATGAGAGATATACAACTTCTCTCCGGAGAGTGTGTTAAGAGTGACCCAGGGCTCTGTTTCCACAAAAGCAAGATGCAGAATACACCAGAAAGCCAGCACTGAACTCCCCAGAAGCAAAAGTCTTAAGTTTACAAAAGTGTCTAATCTTTGAAAAATAAAAGTAGAGCAGCACCGCAGAGTCCCTGGCTTTCTTATCTTTTACCAGGAAGTCCCATCCCAAGAGGTCACAGTGTTTTCAGAGAGAAAGAGGAGTAGATACTTGGAGTACCTAAATACTCTTTAAGGCACCTCTGGAGCTCACATACAGAGGGATAAGCAGGGTTTTAGGATCTGAGTTTGGGAGAGAACCAAACTCCTGAACATGATATGTATAACAAACAGTGTGGCAAAGTGTCATAAAAGGAATTATGGGTTTGAAAGTCAGATATAGATTTGAATCACAGTTTCTTTACTTACTAAAGAAATTAATATTTGATATTTACTTGTAACTCTGGCTTAAGTCCTATGCAGAAATTCCCGGGGTTTGGGAAAGAGTGAGGGGTTGAGATAAGGATAGTGAAGTCATTGTAATTTAAAAAAAAATCACCCTCAATATTCTTACTATTTACTTTTGAGAGCTTGTTTAATTCCCAAACTCTTTAATATTATATTATTTCCCCCATAAGATGTAAAGTGACCTTTTCAGATCCTCAGTGAGAGTTTAAGAATCCATGGAAATAAATGGGGAACTGAACTCATGTTGAACTGTGGTTACTGGGTCGTGAGCCAGCGTTTGGCTTCTAAACACCAGGCTTCTACCATGTGTTCCAAATTCTAGACTTGGTAATATCATAAATTATCACTTGAAATATACCTTTGGGTTGTTCATAAATCTTTAAAACTTGGACTGTGAAATCTTAGAATTCTAAGAATTTTCTGTACTTTAGAAGACATATGCAGTGCTATAAATTATTTTTTTAATATTGCCTTATTTAGAATTTATTCCTGAATTGCATTCTGTTGGGATTTAGGCAACAAATATTTCATGCCCTTTGGGTAAAATAATTTTGGGGAAAGGATACATGAGTTCTTATGGAGGGGTAAACCACTTCGTTTTGCTTACACACGTTTGAGATTTTTCATATGTGAATCTGAAGGGTTAATTTAGATTATATCAGCAAATGTGGTAATCCCAATAGTAGATGTGTTATACTTGTAAGTGAATCATAATGTCATCATTAACATATGCTTCCTCACTATCCACCAGGGTGTGAAATCATAGTGAAGAAATTAGAGTCTTCATAAAGTTACCTGATGTATTCATTTACTTAAAGGCTAAAGGCAAAAAAAGAAAAAAAAACTTCTCAAATAAATATTCATTAAAAATTAAACCTGGCATCCATTCATTTTGTAATTTTAGGAAACTCTGGACAAATTTACCCAATAGTTACCTGAAACTAAAGTCCAGTTTCTTTCCAACTTTACTGTTAAGTGATTTAGCTTTGATAGATGGGACTAAAATACATTAGTCAAAAAACAGACAAAATTCATTCTCTTATACATCTGCGTCTCAGCTACACAGCTAATTAGTTATATGTTAATTTCTCCTACCTCTCTGAAATAAATTCCCTCACATATGGGCAGTGAAATAAGTCAAACATTCTTTTCTTTTCTTTATACCTACGTATTGAAAATGAACACAGTACTTGTAATTCTTTGCATAGGCCAGCTCTTGAGTAGCCAAAGATTTCCTTTAAAAATTATCCAAATTCCATTGCTCTTTTCCTTTAAAAGCAATAGTTCAGCTGCTGGTGACCATAGACATGTCTCTTTCCAGGGAGATATAAACATAGTAGTAGACCAATGTGGTAATGGCAAGTACCTTTTGCCAGATGCTTTGGAGGTTTATGGTGATAACACAATTGGCTAAGTGTGTGCTGCTGACAGAGTTATGGCCATGAGACATGTATGGCCCACTGAGATAACAGCCTTGAGTCTGTTGTATTTAGCCAGCAAGAGCTTTTGGAAAAGTAAGGGGTCATTCATTTTGCTATGGCATGAGTTTTGTGAACCTGCATTATCGAGGACAGACCTTAGTAGTCCCCTGAACAGAAATAGCTAAAATGTCAGCAGCACAACAGTCCAAGTGGATTGGAGTTGCTAAAAGTAAACACTCCCCTTTGTTTTTCCGTAATGCTTTTCCTATCCCGCCTCTTTATTTATCTTCCCCTACATGCAACCATATTTGATTTTTCGGTAAAGCTATAGCTTTTTTCTCTCACTCTTCTGCATTGTTTTCCTCTCATGCCTGTGACTCCAGTTTTTTCACTGTTGACTTATTTTCACTTATCAATATATGTCTCATTTTCTTCCTATGTATATTTTAAAGTAATATTCTGAACTTTTCATTGATTCATAACTATTCCAAATATCACACATAATGCTTCCTAAACTTCAAAGTGCTTTCTCTTACTCTCATGATTACTTTCCGATGCTTACAACAATCCTATGATGTTGGTATCAAGAGATGTCTTCTTTTCATAGATGAGGACTCAGGTTCAGACAGATTAATTCCGCCCATGTTTTCCCAGTGTGTAATGCTCTGGTTAGAACCCCAGTCCATTTATGTTTCTACCTTATCACAGTTGCCTACTTCTCTCCATCTCCAACTGCTATGGCAGCACATCAAATTTCCTGAAATATAAGAAAATATGCACATTCTTAATGAAAACAAGCTATGTCTTTAATTTGCTCTGCTAATGGCAGAGCTGCAGAAAACTATCGACTAATCCTTTGAGCCTTGGAATCTGTGGTCTGTGCTGCAAAATATATCTTAATTAACCACAGAATCAAGAGATTAATGTGAGCCACTACAAGCACAGCACTGCACCAAGTGCAGCACGTGTAGGAAAGCAGGCAAATCCACAGGGCTTGCCCAAAATTGTGGAGTGTGCATCACTATGCTTATTCAGCCTGGGGATCACACCTGTGATAAGCTGAGGCAGTCACACTTCAACCTCAAGAGGGTCATAGCACTAAGTTAAAAAAAAATCAAAAACATTTCACTATGTGCATTTATTTGACATAAATGTATACAGTATGACAATAACCTGTTTGATGTTTTTAAACTACTTTCCCATCCTAGAGTTTCCCCTTCATTTTTAAGGTTGAACTGATCTCTAAAGTGCTCCACAATTACAACTAATATACATATAAAATGAACTACATAATCCATTTATTTCACATACAAAAATTGCATTCACACACTAGTGGTTCTTTTCAATATTTATAATTTATTTTGCAAACGTAGGTTTGATTAGTGATTCTTCAAAATAATTCTCTAAATGCTTTACATATATTAACTTATTTAATCTTCACAATGACTTGCAAAGTAGTTGCTAATTTCTTCATTTCCTATGCTTGAGAAGTTAAGGAGAAAATTCATCATCAAAACAAAATCTAATGTCCAGATCAGTCCAGAATAAAGTACAATGCTGTAATCTATTTCATACAGAAGATATGATGATGCTTTTACAAAAATTGGGCTTATTTCCTAGTCCTTTCTGAAAATGTACTTACCTTTCTCCAATGGTCTAACCTGAATCCGTGCCAACTGCTCCATTTTATGACCATAGTATCTCATTTCAGAAAACTCAGCTTTTCCGTTAGAATAAAAAAAGTAAACAAATTTTCTCCCGGCCATAACCACATAGGAAAACATGGACATTAGATACTAAAGCTGAGCTTTAGTTCACACAATTCTTATACTTCATCAAGCTTTTCCAGATATTTCTGGTAGACTGAAAAACAATTTTAGAATGAAATTCTATTGAGTATTGAATTGATGTATATACTTATGCTTAATTTCAGAATGCTCAACCCCCTGAAATTAACAGAAGGATCTCTATAAAGAAAAGTAATTTTTTAAAAAAATAGTAATTTTAACAGACTTCAAAAAAAATGAAGAGGTACAAGAATAGTAGTCATAATGATATGGGGTCTAGAATACCTACACAAAGCATTGCAAAAAGCAGGGACAGGTAACAAGGCAGACAGGAGTGTTTGGTATACTGTCTGGTATAATGTGGTGGATTTAGTTGTTGACTTATTGATCAGTCTTTGTATTTTCTTTCAGCACTTAAATGAAACTCTTTAATCTACAAAGCCAGGTTACAAATCATCCAAGAAAATTTATTTTTTGTATTTAAAACTTGTTGCTGAAAATATTTAAAGCTAAACTATACTGTTTATTAAAAAAAAGAAAGATTTGAAAGTAAACCTTTCTAATACCAATAAAATATAACCCTTGTTATAATAACTACTTTTTATTGAATGTTCACCATATACCATATTTTTAAAACTGTTTTTTTATATATTAACTTATTTAATCCCCACAACAACTCTGTAAGGCAGATACTATTATTACCTCCACTTAGCAGATGAGGAAAGAGCCCGACAGGTGAATTTGCCTTTGATTGAACAGCCTTATGGGCAGAAATGCACTTAAACTCAGGCAACCCAGTTCCAGAGTTGGTTTAAACCACCAAACAACATGACCTCTTTTTCCTAGTTTTCTGAACTCCATATTTTTAAGTTCAGAAGTACCCATCAGTGTCACCATAAATATATGATTTTCAATCTCAGTGGAGCCCCTGAGACACTTGGCCATCCTGGGGTAGTCACCCATTTCCACCCTTCACAGTTTCTTCTTAACTACCCATTTTCTTAGGTCCTCAACTCTACTGCTCTAAATCACATTGTCACAAGAACTCTTATACTTTTCAGAGAAAATTGATTCTCCCCAGCATGAACAATCTCAATTTCCCACTAATAATGCCCATAACCTATTTCATGCCTTTTCAGAAACTCACCTCAAAGGAAGAGGAAACTTTTATCCAAATTTAGCAGACTCCTGCTATGAAAATCTGTGTCCCCTAGGGCCTTCCTCCTTCAGTCACCTCTCTGTTTCCTAAATGCTTTGTCTTCCTCTCCTTACACCCTCAGTTTCCTCTCATCACACCCATGATCCTCACTCCTGTTACTGCCATTACCTCCTTCTCCTTCTCTTTTAGCCAAGACCCTGAAAATATGATTACTACTTACTGCCTCCATTTCTTCAATTTCGTTTCATATTCTGCATCATTGGTTTTCTATTCTTCTCCTAGTTCACTGGTAGTAGTCATTAGTTATCTCACAATTACCAAATCCAATGTACTTTTTCTAATCTTTATTTGCACCATGTGAAACTCACCACTTTTGGTTTCAGGGCGACAATTTTTCTTGTGGCTACTGTCCTCATTCCCTGATCCCTTCCGTCACAGATTTTCGAAGATAGTGTTTCCCTTTGACCAGCTTTTGAATGCAGACATTTTCAAATGTTTTTGACTTTAACATTGACTTTTAGACATTCTTTTCTCAAAACAGATCTCTCCCGCTGTGCTCCAGACCCATATATCCAACTGCTTACTACTTACCGAGCTTGGCACTTCCAGTCACTTAAACTCATACGCCTTGTGGTGCCCAGCCTCCAAGATAGCCCTAATGATCCATGCCTCCTGGTACTCACATCCTTCTGACGTCCCCTCCCACATTAAATTGTGCTGAACTATATAACTACCGGTCAGCACTATTTCAGAACTGACAACTTGTGACTCAAGAGGCTGTGTCATGAAAGACATTGTGGCTTCCTAGATTCTCTTGGATCACTTGTTCTAGGAAAGGCCAAGCACCATGTCATGAGGACACACAACAGATCTATGGAGAAACACATGTGACAAAAAGTAGGCTCCTGCCAACAGCCATATGAGCAAACCATTTTGGAAATTGATCCTCAGTTAAGCCTTCAAATGCCCGCAACTCTGGCCAACATGTTAAATGTAACCCCATGAAAGACCCTGAGCCATAACCACTATTCTAAGCTACTCCCAATTTTCTGACCCAAAGAAAAAATGAGGTAATATATGCTTGTTACTTTAACTGGTAAATTTGAAGATGATTTGTTATTGCCACCAACTGAACTTTTCTCAAAACTCTGTTTTTTAAATCATTCCCTTCATCAATTATTGACAATATCATCCACTGAGTGACCCAAAACCACATTGCCTATGGCCATCACCAACTCATCCATTCCTTCCCTATCCTTCATCCCTTATCTCCAATCAAGGTCAAAGTTTTTGCTAATCTCTCTCCATTATAAAGCTCCTGAATAGATCCTCTATTATCAAGAACTCTTAGTTGCTGGCTTCTACATTTCTCTGCTGGATTACAACAGGAGACTAATTATTTTCATATTATCTTGAATTTATCCTTTACCCTCTTTAAGATCTTCAGATACAACTATCAGATCATATTCTTCAAAGTCAGATCCTGTAAAGCTTATATTGCCTAAGGATGCTTGTTTCATAGCCTTATCTATACCACAGTCTACTGAACTTCATTTGCCAAGCCCCATACTGATTTATGCTTTTAAATTTTTTTTTCTGCTAGAATGATTTTCTTTTTCTTTTCCTGCTTCTCCTCATTGGGTAATCTTGATTTTTGACAACTAAATTTAAGAATCATTCCTTTAAACAATACTTCCTTATATAACTGACAGCTCCTTCCTTAAAGCCACAACTGTACCCTCTATATAATTCCACCACGGCATTTAAAAATGTATTGACATTTACTTTAGTTTGTAGGTCTGCCTTCCTCTACACCAAAAGCTCATGAAAGATGTGGCTTATGTCTTCTTCATCTCTATCTCCATGGTTTGGGAGAGGGCTTGGCATATGTTGGAACCTCAAAAACTGCTTGAACAAATACCTAAATCTTGACCAGTTTATTTCATCTCAAATTAGATGATTAGAATAATGACAGATATAAAAATTAAATATAATAAATGTAAAAGAATACCTACTCGCAAAGTAGAGTCATTGTCTTACTATGAGGAAAAAGTTTTCAGTTATCTGATATAAGTAGAATAAAAATGCATATTTTCATCTTATTTACTATAATTGTGCAAAAGATATCTATAAGTTCTAGTCTCTCTATGTTCATGCTATGAGATGCCCTGGTAAAAATAAAATATGGCTCACTGCAACCTCCGCCTCCCAGGTTCAAGCAATTCTCCTCCTCAGCCTCCCAAGTAGCTGGAATTACAGGCGCCCGCCACCATGCCTGACCACTGCACTCCAGCCTGGGCAACAGAGTGAGACACCTTCTTGAAAAAATAAATAAATAAAATATGCCAGATACATAGTTCAGTTGTGTTACGCTATGTGAATTGTGCAAAGTTGAGAGAAAATAGAGAATACGGAAAAAACAGAGTAGTCCTTAGCCTTTTTCAGACAATTATAATATGGCCCCACTTATTCATGCTCAATCATTCATGTTCTTTCAAAAAGCAGATTACTGCCAGCTAGAGCTATTCTAAATTCTTGACCCCTAAGAGTACAGTCATGTTTTAACAATATCTCTAGCAAAGCCTCTCTCTGGGGCTTCCTACAAACTTAATTAATGCGAAAACTGTCACTTGTAAGATTGTAAGAATAATGTTAATCAAACCAACAATAGTGGAAATTCAGCTTTTACCACCATTTGTAAAAATGTGTTTTTAAAATAATACTTGTTATATTTATATATTGAAAGTAAAACCATTACAATCATGATTATTTGAAAATACATATTTTTCACAATGGAATTGGAGATAGCATGCTGAACATTGTTTTTTCTTTAAGAGAAAAAAAAGTATTTGCAATACTTTGTCAAATGCTATAGTTACCAAGGAAAACAGGAGATTTATGTAACTCTTAATTGAATTTTTTATTTAAATATGTCAATAAATAATGAATAATATGAAATTAATAAAAATGGCAAATGAACTTCTGAAGATCTGATGATGGCGCCAAAGTCACAAGGCTTTGTCAAAATTAAAAGCTGGAAAAATGGAATAAGCTCATGAAGTGGGAAAGGAAAGAGTGTCGAGGAGGAAAAAAACATCTAGATAGTAAAGGAAGGAAAATAGCAAAACTAGCTAACCCTGATTGAGGGCTTCCTCATTTAATCCTCAGTAAGAGGCAGGAAAAAGTGGTATCCCTAGTTTATAGATGAGGAAATTGAGGTATAGATCTCACAAGTAGCCCAGACAGGACCAAGTAGGCATCCATGGATTTCAACAATTTTCAAGGGCTACTGGCAGTCTCGGGTTATACATAAGGATCAATGTGACAAACAGACATGTGTTTATTACTGGGTCCTGATGTTGCATTGGTGATGTAAGGAAAGCCACAATAAAGTTCATGTCTTCTGAGAACATCAGAATCAACAGAACAATCTAATACTTCCCAGAGTTTAAAAAAAAAGTCCTCATTTCTTCTATGGAAAGAGCTTCTCAGAAGATTATAAATATATTGTAATAGCATCTTCCTGGTATTTTGACACACTCTTCAACATTGCTATTTTTTAAATTACTGTCTCAGCAGAGCAACAGTGTCTTTCTACAGGGCAAGCCAAGAGGTCAACTGAAGGATGGAGCTTAGAGGTGCCCAAAGTCCAGGTAGATAACAAGAGGGAAGAATCCTGGAAGTCACCTAAAGAAGGGAGGAACAGGAAGGCTATCAATGTGTTCCTAGTGAACAGAGGAGTTGCCTGAGTTGAGGCTGTTTGCTGTTATTCTCTGGCCCTGTGTGAGCAGCTTTGTAAGCTCATGTGCGAATGATTGCTCAAAGGGTAGGGCTTACTTCACAGTGACAGAGTGAACATAACCTTGAAGGGGCAAAACCAAGTCCAATCTGCTTAACACCTGGCAGAAAGTAAGTGGTATATATCTAATCTTTTTCAATACATGTGTATTGTTTAGTCTTGCGTATGGCTTCTAGTTCTTTGAGAGCTGTATGCTACATAATCACTAATTCAACTTTATTCTTTCCACAGATATTTTAGTGTTTCCCTTAAAAGTGCTTCCAGCATGCAGTACTACCCAAAGGTTAGGGACATTTCTAGCTAAAGGTTTACTCCTGGAAGACACTTAGGCATGGCTAGAGCTGCAAGTAATTGGAGTCTGGGTAAAGACTGGGGAGTTGTTAACAGACTATTAATACCAAATTAAGAACCCCAAGTCCTACAGGTAACCTGTAATATGCATTCTAAAGTACAGGTTTCTTTTCTTTTCTTCCCCACTCCCCAAGATGCCAAGTTGATTCTGAGAACTACTGAATTAAACATTTTTGTAGGGCAACTTGTGAGGGGTAGAGAGTAGAGAACCCTTGTAGATAGTCCCTCACGGACAATCCTTCGTGTTATACTCCTGCTGCAATCTTCTTAATCCGCTTTTTAAGGACTCGGCTGCTGTTTGAGAGACAGATGTTAAGGCTAATGATGCCAAGAAAAGTTAAAATTTCATATAACCTCTTCTTGTGAAAAAGACCCAGGGGAGTGGCTAGGGATGGGTATTTTTTCCTTCAGTCCCTGGGAAGCCATTTTACTGGAATCCTCTCAGATGTGAAGGGAGAATGAGAACTGTATTAAAAACCAGAGTATATCCCATGGTAGGGCAGCTATATCTTGGGAGGGAATGACAGAAGGCTCTTGATTTCTCTAAGTATACCTCATTAAAGTACAATTTATGCAGTGATTACTCCATGGGGCATTCAAAAAAGACTGGATAGAATATAGAATCTGGATATAGGATATAGATATAGGATCTGTCCTTAGAAACCTTACAGTCTAGTTAAGAGGTAGCATGAGGAGCTTCTGCAGAGGTTGAATGTTAGTATCTTAGGAAAGTTACATTGGGGGTTCCTGTACTTGGAAAACGGGATAAATACCATCTAAATTTCCTTCTAACACAAAACATTATCTTCCTCAAATTTTCAAAAAATGCTTTACTGTTATCAAATTATAAAATTATGTTCTTAATTAAAGTAATAAAAGAGGAAAAAAGACAACATTTGGGTAAGTCTTATTCCACATTCCTTCCATAACAACAAGATATAATAATAAATTATTTGCATGTTTACTATAAACCAGATATTAGAGTAAATATTTTTATACATATGATCTCTTTCAATGTTTATCATAACTCTATGAGGTAAGTTTTATTGTTACCCCATTTTATAGTCACAAAATTGAGGCACAGAATAATTAAGTAATTTACTCAAAGTTACTCAACTGAAGGAAAGGGTATCATGATTTTAAATCCTGGTGGTCTGATTCCAAAGCCCACATACTGAACCACTATACTATATGGCCTAAAAATTGTTCAGTTATAGAGAACTATACATATACAGTATTCTAGCTAGGAAACATAAATTAATCTTAGTATATGTTATATTTTGGAATGTTCCCTTTTTTTTCATCCAACAGTGTACTGTGAACATTACTCCAAGTCAATAAATATGGATCTAAATAAGCATTTTAAATTAATGCTAGTAAGAGTCTATAATTTTACACATGTCATATAAAATATTTTATTTCTTCTCTGTTACTTACATTTAATTAAATTCAATAAACACTAATAGAGAATCTGTTTGTTAGGCATGGCACTAGAAGAAATGATCTGATCATCGTTCTTAGTAGCTCTCAAGTAGCTTACAATCTAGGGATTTCAAATCTTCCAGTCTTATTGGATACATCTCTCATTTCCTGGGTCTTATAATTAATTAGGTTTTGTAGATATTGGGTCCACTTAGGATAGCATAGACAAACAAGATAATTTTAGGAAAAGTTTAGGGATTATCTACAACCTAGTTCATCTTACCTGAGTGATGGACAGTGTATCATAGTAGCTTCTAACACTACGGCTATTCAACATCCTGCAGGCCAGACAATCAAGCTACATCAGAAAGAAAGGGACTAGCCTGTCAGTGAAAGACTGGGTAGTTAGGAAATCCATCACATTTTATTGTCACATTGAATGATGATGTGTCATCTGTCATCTCTTTGTAATACTGGCACATTGGTTCACATTATTCTGTCAGTGTTTACTCACTCTATTGTTTAAACCATTCTACCCATTTTCGCTAAATGTAGAAAAATGAATACTCTCTGCCAAGAGGAGAGTACCGCAATCACAGGGAAAGGTTGATAGTTGTCGGAGAGGTTTAATATTAAAAACCACATTAATATAGTGAAGTGAAATAGCACAGTGGTTGGAAACTTTGGTTAGGTTCCTATCCTAGCTCCTTTACTACATTTCTGGGTAAACGTAGGCTGACTTATCTACCTTTATTGTGTCCCATGGATTAGAGACAATACTGGTACGTACCTAATGACAATACCTTTTTGAGGATTACATGAATTGCCTTTAAAGCTCTTCAAACCCTGCCTAACACATAATAATTGCTCACAAAATTCTATCTTTAATATCTTAATCTTTAATTTGCCTCCAACATTGACTCATTGTTTGTTTTGTCATCGTGCCCATTTCTTTTGCAAAGTATTTAAAATAGAAGAGAAAGTAATCAAAATGATAGATACTATAAAACATTTGAAATGATTGCATTCATTTGTGTTCATCTACTCACTGAATCTTTCCACTTGGATACTTAATAATTGTAGCAAAATACATATCTGTATATTTCCCATTTTCCCTTGCAGTATTTTCCCTAATTTCTATTATTACTTTCATGTTCTCTTTATAGTTCCTGGATTTTCAACTGATCTTATTCAGATCATTGTCATTCCTCCCAGGCTCTTTCTTCCAAGGGTGGCTCTATGTGTTCCTATTTTATGTGGAACATATACTTGGTTCTGAACAAATTCTCATTTTTTATTAGGACCATGTGTTTCTCTTGCTAAATATCTTTTACCAAAATTACCATGCAACATCCAGTCTTTTCTAAGTTTGTTACATGTCCCTCCCGTACCCCACCACTCCACCTTGGGGTTAGGATGAGTGACCTTCTTATTTCTTCGTCTCTGGTGGGCTTTAAACCTACTCTCTGCATTATTATATTTGAGGTTTCCATTCTCCATTTTTGGTGATGAAATCACACCCTAAAGGCAATATTCTGACTTTGCAATTGTTCAATGTCCAGGAGATGCTCTGGTGCCCCATCTCCTCAATCGTGGCAGCCACTAGTGGCACCAGCTCTTTATTTTCATCATCATTTAAAATTACTCCACTTCCAGAATCCCAAATCTGATATTCTCTCTCACTCTGTCATTAAGCAGATTTTGTTATATATCTACTATATTCAAGTTACTGTGTCAGGCACTGAATACACAATGAAAAATACAGCATGGTGTCTGCCCTGTGGAGTACCAGTCCCATCCTTTGACCCATCTTGCTTTCCCCTCTTATAGAATGTTCTTTTCATCCTCTTGTCCTCTAGTGGCTTAACCCTCATTTTTTATTCAGTCCATTGGCACAATTCTACCTGAGTTGACATAATTGTAAACATGATTAAACATTTCAGAAATAAAAAATACCATAAATGGAGGCCCTGAGCCTTCCAACATATTTATCTTCTAATCCACCACCCTGGGTTATCCTCCTAATGGGGTTTAGGTTACAACCTCTAACCTACATGTTGTTCACAAATCTGCAAAAACATGGTTACCTAAAATATAATAATTCATTATTTGCTTTGGCAATTATATTATACATTACTTATTTGAAAGGCACAAAAGTACAGAATGAGATTAAATAATTGGCAGCATAGTATATGACTATGGCTTTATCCCAGATACAACTTGGGGACCCCAAGCCTTAGAACTTGGGCACAGGATACAGCAGGACCTGTAGTCAGACTGACATGATTCTGAGTCATCTGGATGAATGGACTGAAGCTTCACAAATTTTCGTTCCCTAAAAAGAAAACTGTCCTAGAATTTGGCCTAGGGGAAGCTCGCAGTTTTAGGTGGGTAATTCTGAAGCTTTATCTAATCCACACAGACCACAGAAGCTCATATCCATTTCTTTATTGCTAATTTTGGCCTAAATATATACCAGCTCTTGTTACTATGCACTGTTTCATAAAAATATGACTTGTATTCCCGTGTAATCAGTATACTTCGGGGAGGCAGACCCTGTATTCAATGTTTCCTTTTATCCCCTCCATGTCCAGCTGTACAAAATATGAAATTAATAAATACCTAGTGAGTGTTGGAATAAACTCGACTAACAGAATGAACACAACTGTAAATATGCTCCACTGGGTTTCATTTGTATAAATCCTTACATTATATCTCCCTTATCAGCAAGTCTATGCATTCCTGCTCATAATATATTTGAAAATATGTCATTCCTAGAGAAGAAAAAGAACTATGTACAAATTGTATGTTGAAGTGGATGTATAATATACATAAAAACTATAAATAGCCAAGATTCACTTAGAGAAATTTGGAGAAATAATTGAGAGATAATTAATGAACTTCTCCATCATACATGCGGAGATTGTCTACATTGTGTCATTTCTGAGTTATTACTCCTTCAATATTTAGGACTCACAAAGCACTGCTTTCTCCTAATGTTCTTCTCCCCACTGTTCACCCCAGTCCAAGGACCATTAACTATCTGTAATAGTATTATATAGCAAAAGACTATGTTTGATATCCTTGTTATCTTTTCATTTTCATCTTGTACATTTTATCCTGAAAGCAGGTGAAAGACTAAAATAACATTTTCAAACTAGGAGAATATTTTATTCCCTGTATTTTTTCATTACCAGATGTCTCCATCACCTGGTCTCCAGTGTACCTATGGAACACAACAAGTATTCCTTCTGACCAACACTTACATCCAAGAGTTCAGTTAGTATGTACAGCTAGTACCTGCGGTGTGTTAGATAACTTCACAATAACATTTAAATGAGCTAAATCTGACCAAATGTGATACTCTATAAAAGGAACAAGAAACAACTTAAATTCAATTTTGTCTTCAGTATACCATCTGAAAACCAAATGGCAGCCAATGCATTTTCCATATGGGCATAACGTTTTGTAATTCTTAACATATTTCATTGATTTTTGGTAAATGTGAAACTGCCATGGGAATTCCATATACTGAAGAGTATCAAGATCACAGAACTACTAGTTTCCTGCATGATATAGTCACAGCTGGCTGTAGACACATGCCAAGAAACCATCCATTGAGATCATTGTCTAGAAAACACTTAACAATTGGCGTTTGGGATATTAGCCTTGAAAATAAGACTATTTCATTGGCTACCTGAATAATAGAATACAGATGATTATTAACATTTCAGATTATACAAACTTTAGAATTAATAAAGAAATCAGAATAGGATTCAAAGTTATCCTGAGAAATTGGAGTAGTAGTTACACACAAATGAAAATTTCTGGGAATAAACATGAGTAATGCTGTGGTTACAAAGGAAAAATAAAGAAGAAAAACAAATAGACGAATCCAGAGTGAACATTTATTAGCCAAACAGCAATGCAGTAAAAAGTATCTATTGAAGAAATATGTACTTTGCAGCTACACAATTTAAACCAGTGTTTTTTTTTTTTTTTTTTAAAGCTGGGATGTGTGACTGGAAGGTGAGGAACTTTGACGCTCACAGTCATGCCATATACTGACTACCATCCTGCCTAGATTTCTGGCCTCTACAATAAAAGTGAGGACATTAAAATAATTTCAAAGACATGCAACTATAAGGGTAATACTTATTGAAAATATTTGAGGAAGAACTTAAGAGGTTGCTATTATTCATCCTGCAATTAAATGCATAAATATGTAGGGTTTCAAATTGTTTTTGTTTTAACAAATGTGGTGAGAAACTGTTGTTTTCCATTTCCATAAGAAGAGAAAATAAGAAAATATTTTTAAATTTAAGCAAGAATGATTTAAGAAAGAAGCAAATAAAATCTTTCAGAAAAAAATATTGCTGTATATTATGAAGGCCTGAGGTTTATTCTTCCATAGAAATTGTTAAAGGCAGGAGAGATTTTCTTTTTTCTCTAGGATTGGTAAGAGTAACTTTGTTTAAAGATCTCACTGTTTGTGACCTCCAAAGGTAATGAGGACCCTAGAGAGATTTGCTCTAGGTCTATAAAAGTAATGTGGTCAGATTAATGGTCGGAGCTGAATGAGAAGCCTAAACACTTTGGACAGGAGGCTGCCAGAGAAACAAGATGTCCTTTGACATTTTTACCTTTAGGTCACCAAGACACGAAGCAAGTGATATGCTTAGTGCTAGCAGATGATTTGAAGGTGCCAAGTGTTGATATAGACAAGATTAAAAAGGCATCAGACAATGGGACAGTCTTAGTCCATTCAGGCTGCTATAACAAAATACCACAGACTGGGTGGCTTAGAAACAACAGAAATTTATTTCTCACAGTTTTAGAGGTGGGGAAGTTCAACATCAAGGTGCCACACACTCAGTGTCTGGTGAGGGCCCACTCTCTCATTGAGAAAGGGTCATCACTGCCTGTTAACCTCTCATGGTGCAAGGAACAAGGGAGCTCCCTCATGCCTCTTTTATAAGAATATTAATTTCATTCATGAGGACTCTGTCTTCATGCCTAATCACATTCCAAGGCTCCACTTCCTAATACTATCATTTTTGGGGGTAGGATTTCTACATATTAATTTTTGGGAAACACAAACATTGAGTCCACAGCAGAGCAATAAATCATCCCGTACCTGCAGAGCCAAATGTGGTGTACTGAGTTTCCTCCATCCTGATAAAGTAAAGGATGACATAGGGAAATGATGGCTACCAGTAGTTGACAAATACTAAGCGATTGACATCTTGCCTGGTGCCATTGACAGCTGATTTTTTCTCTAGGGAACCCTAACTAAGGTTGGCAATTAAAACTGGTGAAAAGCAATGGAACTTGGGAGACCCTGTCCCCAAACTCCTCCTTCTTCTCTTTCCTTTGTGGGCACACTATAGAGGTTAAAAAGATCCTTACTTTATGTTAGGAGGTACATTGTGAACAAACATAGTGTACTTGTCATGATCAAAACTTGTAACACACAAGTTTTCTGAACTTCACTGGAAGGTTATACGCTATTAAGTCATATCCATACTGGCTTGTAAGCATGATAAATATGCACATTTATCAGGTGCAAGCTAATAAAAAGTTTTCCAAATAGGAGTTGCAACCTGTGATGGAATTAATACAGAGAGTTATTCAGTTTTCAAATAATGGAATGGAATGAAGTAGAATACAATATAATGAAAAGAATACAATAGAATAGAGTATAATAGAAATCCCAAGTAGAAAGGCTATGTATTATTTTGTAAAACTGTTGTTTCAGTTATTTATTTGTATTGGGAGGGATGTGGATGTACGTGTGAATATGCACAAATACAGTGGGTCACAATATAAAATACATTTCTTACTATGAATTCTGCTATGCAATTTGAAATCTACTGTCGTAAGATATTATCAGGGTCTCCAAATTAACAGGTTGTCTCTGAGCCTATGCAACACTAAACAGCTGTGGGAATAAAGAAATCATCAAACATCAGATGTTTCTAAGACATTTGGACACTTAACAGCATGTTGACAAAACATCTGAATGTCTAATTGTCTACTCCTCTTCTCTTCTAGATGTTTACTTTAATAAAACATAGCCATGAGTTGTGGCTCAGAGGTGTCAATCCTAACAACAATTTCATTTATATTCTTAAATTACAAAGTATGCTCATCAAATATCCTAAACTATTAAATGATTTTATTCCTGCAAGTAAAAGAGAATAAAACATGAATTAAAAGAAAAATTTTAGCAAATGAATTTGTTAAAGTCAAAGAGAAGTTCAACGCACATATAACCACAAGTTAAACTAATATGTGCAATGGAATATCATTTATAAATGAAGCTAATACTCTGATGTGCAAGATACAGAAACTGAGGAGAAATTACTTGATTCCTCTCAGTATCCGTTACATTTTATCATAGCAGTGTCTAGTTGTAGTCTTTCCCATATTAAGCTATATGAAACCATGTCAATGTACGACTTAAGATCACCCTGAGTTCTAGAGAAGGACATACTGAGAAGTGAGTTCATTGCTAATGATTTGACAAATCACTGGTGGAGAACTGTTTTTCTGCCTGAAAATTTCTTTAGGTATGTAATAATTTCAACAAAGAAGCAGGCTATTAATGGAAAAAATAAATATTCTCAAAAAGTCATTGTCTAAGTTTTAATGGTGCTTTCCTTCAAAATTCCTAATAAAATTTGGAAAGACAATAAAACTTCTTTTCCTTCTGATTCTCATGAATTCAGCCTGTAATCTAGTGAAATTGCAATTTATTAAATAAGGTGTCATAAATAATTTGTGAATATTGAATCAATAAGAGAATAACTTCTCTGCTCAGGCCCTGTGGTACAGATTGTATGCATTTCTTTTTCCTAGTGGTTCAAAGTGATTGTGAGAAGAGGTTGCACTGTCCTAGGAATTCCCACTGGCATTCTAGAACAAATCAGTGAAGCAAGCATGATGCTCAGCAAAGAACACATTTGACTAATTTAGAAGTTTCATCTTGGAGACTCTTGTTAAGCTACGTCTCTTGATAAGCTGTGAAATGCCAGAACTGAATAAATACAAAAACAAGAACAACAAGAAAAGTGAAGTAGTCACCACTGCTGTCTAAGCCTGATTTTTAGACCTAGATACAAAAACAAAACTGAAGAATGTAGGATGAATCATAAAATTTCTGCCTGAATTTTTTGCGTGTGTGATTAATAAGGCTAGACTTAAATATTCTAGGTAATTGGGTATTTGTGAAATTTTGCACACTAATCTTGTCAAGATACAGCCCAGTAGTTCTTGGAACACAGTATGTTGCCCTGTTCAGAATAGATGTTCGATACGAGTTGACCTACCAGTTTCCATATACAAACCATTCTAGATCTTCTGGTTGGTTGTACCAGTTACCACTATGAAAGAAATGTGTGATTCATGGGGGGAAAACTTCTTGAAACAATGCTATTCAACACCAAGAGAAATACTGGAGTGCTTTAAAAAAATAACCTGTGAGCTGGGCACAGTGGCTCATGCCTGTAATCCCAGCACTTTGGGAGGCCGAGGTGGGCAGATCACGAGGTCAGGAGTTCGAGACCAGCCTGACCAATATGGAGAAACCCCGTCTCTACTAAAAATACACAAAAAATTAGCTGGGTGTCATGGTGCGTGCCTATAATCCCAGCTACTCAGGAGGCTGAGGCAGAAGAGTCACTTGAACCTGGGAGGCGGAGCTTGCAGTGAACCGAGATCACGCCACCGCGCTCCAGCCTGAGAGACAGAGCAAGACTCTGTCTCAAAAAATAAATAAATAAATAAATAAATAAATAAATAAAATAATCTGTGAGTAGAATTTCTACGGAGATGGGAAAACAAATACAAACAAAATAAGAGTTTCTGGCTGAGGCAAAGCAGACATTGGGTAAACATTTTCAAGAAAAAAAAAATGCAGAGAAACTGCTACTAATGGCGCTCATGTGCTTCTTCATCCATTGCTTGGGAGTTCTCTCTAGAGTCCAGCCCCGTAGTTTATCCATGCCCCACGGCTATTGTATAAGGAGGGTTTTATTGCGATTTCTGTGTAAATAAAATAAATCTTAAGAGGGATGAGTAAGCTTGTGTTCTAATGAACATTTAGGTCAATTTTTATTCAATCTGGACTGGTTCTTCTATTTCTTTAACAAAAATGAAAAAGAGAGAAGAGAAAAAAAAATTAACTGAGTAGAAAAACACGGGATAGATAAAGCTTGGCAGTATCCCAAGTGGCAGTATTTTCTATAGAACAATTCTATCTCATGTGATACTCTCCAAGCTATTTTATTATCTGTACTAAAAAGCCAGCAAAGGCAGCTGCTGCTCCTCAGACCTTGGCATTCTCTGTGCAGCCTCCCAGCTCCACACCACCCTGCTGCAGGCCACAGGCAGAACTGAGCATGTCCAGCAATTTTCCACTGACCTGGAACATATTCGGCATCTCAGAAGGCAGCTCAGTCTCTATGCACAACTGCACCATAGTCCGTGGGTATAGACCACTTTCCTCATCCAGGAAGAGACAAGAAATGAGTACAAACTTCTCAATTTGTTTTGTCAAATTTGCTCCTAGACTAATCTGAAAATACTTACATTGTAAATTTTCTCTCTAAATTTTATCTCTGATATATTAATAAACAACCAACCTCAGATATCTACAGGGAGAATAAAAAGTTTGACAACTAAAAAACTCACACACACAGCGCCATGCAAAGGGATATGTACTCCGACCTTGCACATTGATAATGTTTTATTTCATTGTTGAAAATAGAACTTGACTTGTCTGATTCAACATGGCAGGCAAAGCTATCCCAGTAGGGATAGCTTCAGAGGAGATTTGTGATTTGTATCAGCTTTCTAAACACGATTCCAAATGACTTATCTTGTGAACCATTGTCACATACTTAGGCTAAATTCCATAGGAAACTGGCCCTGACATGCTTTAGGCGAAAGTTAATTCTTCATGATACAAAGAGTTAAAGGCAAGTCCTAGTCAATAGAATGGGACTGGTTGCAAACACCAATAGACCTCTGCGTTTCTATAAAAGACAACAGCTTCCACTTGCCATTCTTCTTCTTATCTCTTCTTCCTCACTTCCACCAAAATTTGCAGCTGTTGAAGCCCAGTCAATTATGACAAGGGCAGATGCCAAGAACAACAACAGCAAAAATATGTTAATGACGCTCTCAACACTGCCAGTTCTTCAATTCCATTCAATTATCTGTACTTTTCCTCCTGATTTCCATGACTTCAGGACGTTATCAAGTGCTCCATAATTAATCAGGCACCAAGCTAGACTGTGCTAATGAGACTCTGTTTACAGCACCCCTCCCCCAAGCTGTTCTCCACCCCTAATCCTCATTCCTACTGTATAATGCCTCTTTCTCTTTTTCCTTCCTACAGAGGCCTTGGGGCTTTTGAAATGATTCCAACAGAAAGAAGAGCTTATCCTGATAGGTTTTAAGGAGAATTAACATATAAGCAATGCCAGTTTCCCACTAGTTATCCATCATTGCTCACTTAAAGATAGGAACTTGTTCTGTTCCTAGTGAGTGACTCATAAATCCACTGCCTTTCACTCTTCTCCTTCCCATCTTCTCAATCCCACCCGCTTCACTTGAAGTTCTATCTGTAATTCACAGTCCCATAACTATTCCCCTTATTTTTATTCAGCCCTGGGCTATTTTTCTTTTCTTTGCCGGTTCCTCATGCTCACACATTTGTAATTATTCATTCCACTTTCCCCTTCCTTTTAATCCAGCTATACAGTATTTTCTATTTTATCTAGATGAAAATTTTTGAGGATTTGTAGTTCCTCTTTCTTAGCTTTTTGTAGAAGTTTTCCTGTATTCAGTCTTCTGGTAATGTTCTCTCTTTCTTTACAATAACAATTCTTTTTATTTTTTAAAATTTTGTCTGTTAGGGTTCTTATCTCTAATTCCTTTTTCTGGCTAGAGTAGCCATGAATAGAGACTACTGTTTTGAAAAAAGCTGTCTTCTACATCACTCATGGACTCTGGTAGTTAGTCACTGCCTCTGCCTTCTGTTTCTGAAGATGGAATATCTTTACTAAACACATAACCCTCAATAAGTAGCCTGATCATAATTAAAGTAGGATCTTGCTTTCTCATTCTTTTTTCCAGATGCTCTCAGAACTGAAACAACAAACTCTTACAGATATAGAAAAGGCTATTCAAATACTACATTTTCACTATCTCTTTATTGTCAATTTTTTAAAAAGTCATTATCTCTCACTATATTGTAAAAATAAATAATTCAAAATAAAGCTGTTGGAACTTTAAATTATTTTGTGCCTTAAAATGTGATTGTGAGGGCTGAGTCACAAAGCAAGCAGCAGCCACTGTTGCTTCTTTGATTACAGATTAACCTTCTTTCTGATATTTGTTTCTTTGTAAAATGTGAAAGACTGAATGGCACCAGAGATCAGACCCCCTTCTTTTCAGTTACTGATCTTTTGTTATAGATAAACTTCCTTCATATCTTTTCTTGTACCTGACTCAGACCAGATGGCACGAAAGTTCCCATGACTATTAAATCATTTGGGATGCAATGCTAAATATACCTTTCCCCAAAAGGAACAGACTGTAACCAATCAAACTGCTGTAACTCATGAACCAGCCTTGTATATACAATGTTGTAATCCTGCTAAACTTCTTTGTTTCTGCCTATGTAAGTGAGACTTTTACTTTGCTTCAGAGCACTGATCCCATTTCTTTGGAATTGGTGTTTCCAGAGTGGCTAGTCTAAAACTCTTTGCTTGAATAAACTCTTTAAAATTGGATTCCGATAGCTTCAAGTATTTCAGTTTGACAATAATAAGGTATCTGAAAATAAGTTTACCCTTAGTACAATCTTCTCACTAGAAGAATAAGGAAACAGACCAAAAGAAAAGTGAAGAGCCCATTCTAAAGTCACCTGGTTTTGAGTGATGTAGTTAAGATTTCAACCATATGTTCTTGAATCCAATTATAGGGCTTTTTAATTACATTCTGGGATTCCACTGTCTGCATAGAATAAATTGTCCCCAAAGCTTCATGTCAACTCTTAGCTGTCTCCCTTCCATATAGGTTATCATATGGAGCCTCATTTAAGAGATTTAGAACAAAAAAGAAATTCAGTTCTCTCTACCAAAACACCTATTTTTTTAAGTGGCCAAAAATATGGTCACTGGTCTGCTAATCAAAACAAGTCCCAACACAATCTAATATGAACAATCTAACATATTCCTGTCTTTCACAGTCTATGTAATTCTAATATGGAAACCATCTTTAAACTTATATGAAAAGAAAAAGCAGAGAAACCATTCCAAAATCATCAATTTTTATATTCCAATTGGAATATAGCTTAGTTATAAGTTTAGGGAGTGTCTGAATATTGATTTTTTTCTTGAGCTCATTAACTAATTTTCTTAAGATTGGAACTTCTCAAACCCTAAAAAAAAAACTAAAACTATAATGTAAACCCTAATAATTATATGTGTTTCTTTATGGATACAGTAGGGCATCTTCATAGGCAGATAACTGAGGTGTCTTGGGAAGAGGAAAACACAAATCAAATATCCTAGACAGAAACAAATATTGATTGATGAATAGAAGTTCTTTATTTTAGTGTAGCAGTCCAATTTTTCAATTATTTCTTTATGATTAGCACTTTTTTGTTCTATTTAGGGAATCTTTGCCTTAAAGATGTCCTACTATTTTACAATACATACTTTGATATATAATCCATCTGAAATTGATGTTAGTGTATAATGTAAAGTATAATTGCCAAAGAACTCATATCCAAAGCATGTAAAAGATTCCTAGAAATAAATAAGAAAATGCAGACAATATAAAAACAGACAGGAAACTTCAGCAGTTACTTTGTAAAAGGGGATATTCAAATAGTGATATCACATAAAGTACTCAAATTCTCTAGTTATCAGAAAAATTCAAATTAAAACCACAAGGTGATACCACCAAACATCCACCAAAATGTCTAAAATAAAAGACAAATACTTCAAATGTTGGCAAGGACATAGAACACCTGATACGTCTTATACATGCTGGAGGGAGTATAAATTTGTATAATCTCACTAAAAAGCTGTCAATAACAACTCAATTTCAACATATCAGCCCTGCAGTTTTGCTCTTTTACCAATGGTCATACATACACAGATTAAACAAAATACATGTATAAGAATGTATGGAGAAAATATATTCATAACAATATTTAACTAGAAATAACCCAAAGGTACATCTACAGTAGAATAAACAAATATAGTATACTTCTACAATGAAATACTATTGAACAATGATATATACAACTGGATTAATTATTCCTACCAACGAAATATTTAGCAAAAGAATCCAGAAACAAAGAGTTTATATCATATAATCTCACGTATATAAATTTTTGAAGCAGACAAAACAAATCCATGCTGCTACAGAGTGCTTATTCTTGGTGTCTGTGGGGGTACAGTGGCATAGGGTAACTTCTGGGAAATGATATTGTCCCATTTGTTGATCTGGGTGATAGTTACTTATACACTTGTAATTTATGAACTATTCATACCCATTTTGTACTGAAACTAAAAATAATAATAAAATGCAGATTCTACTCTGGCCTTAGTGAAAATCATATATGAGAGAAAACATATTTCATCAGAAACTGGTTCTAATATTATTATTTGAAGCCTGAAGAATAAAAAGTGAAGATACAATATTGCGATTTATAATCAAATATACATAATTGGTCTTCATGTCTATTTTCTGGCACACAGCTCCTAAAACCTCTGGAATCTCCAAACTGACAAGTGCCATTTTGTGTGCCAATAAGAAGACTGATGGCTGGGGACTTCTGGACAGCCTCAGGATGGTAGCTGGTTGCCAGGAGAACCAATCCTGTAATTAGAGGGTTGGAACTTTCAGCCACACTCCCAAACAACTGGGAGGGAAAGAAAGGCTAAAGAATGAGTTAATCACCAATAGCCAATGATGTAATAAATCATGCCTACATAATGAAACCTACTTCAAAGTCCAAAACTGCATGATTTGGAGAGTTCTGGGATAGTTGAATGCGTAGAGGTGCCTGGAGGGTAGTGTGCCTGGAGAGGGCATGGAAGCTTTGTGCCTCCTCCCACATTCTTTGCCCTATGCATCTCTCCATCTGGCTGGTCAGCTGTATCCTTTGTAAAATCCTTTATAATAAGTGGGTAAATGTAAGTAAAGTATTCCCCTGAGTACTGTGAACCACTCTAGCAAATTAAACAAACCCGAGGAGGAGGTCATGGGAACCCCAATTTACAGCAAGTCAGTCAGAAACACAGGTCACAACCTGGGACTTGCGATTGCCATCTGAAGTGGAGATGGTCCTGTGGGACTGAGGACTTAATCTGCCAGATCTGATGCTATCTCTAGGTAGATAGTGCCAGAAGTGGGTCAAATTGTAAAACGTCCATCAGGTATCTGCAACAGAATTGGTTGTTTGGTATGTTGGGGGTGAGGGGGAATACATTTTGGTGACTGGAGGTGGGTGCCTGAGTATGAGTAAAGGATTTCCTTTAGAGAAGAAAAAATTACAAAAATAAAATCACCAAATGGAATTTTTTGAACACCTACTATGTGTATGTTCATAAATAATGAAGTAAAAACAGATGCTGACCTCAAGGGAAAGAGGATCTAGATAAGACTTCTGAGGCTCTGAGACAGGGTCTCCTAGAGAAAGAATGAACAAAAATAGGAAATATAAGTGAAAGTCAGTTTTTGAGTACTGTTTTGGATACCTTCCAACTGAGATGACAGGAAAACATGCAAGTGGAAATATTCAGGATACATTTAGTATTATGGGACAAGACAAAGACGTAAGTCAGGACAAGGATCATGAATCTGGAAATCACCTAAACGGAGGAGAGAGTGCTTTGGGAAGAAATTGAAGAATACCAGGCTGAGAACCAAACTTGGCATATACGGACACTTAGTAGGTAAAAGAGGTTCCCAAATATCCTGTCTCTCTGTTGCGTATTAAACGGTACTGCATTTTGCTGCCATTTTCCAGTTAGAAGTGACCAAGCAATTTGATTTGGCCAGTGAAATGTGAACAGCATTCATGTGTGTCACATTTGGGTGGAAGCTCTAAGAAACAGTATAGGACTTGCCAAAATCCTTTCCTACTACCTTAGTGATTGTGGAGATAGTGGAAGTTTGTGGTGATTGCAAATAAGATGGATGCTCCAACAACCTGAGTTCTGGAGTGTTTGCTATGTGCACCGTGCCCCAATCCCTAACCTATGCTAAACATGTAGCATGAATGCAAAATAACATTTTCATTGTGTTAAGCCTCAATGAACTTTCAGATTTGTTTGCTTCCACAATTTAACCTAGGCTAACTTGACTAATGTAGGGATTTTTTTTAGAAACAAGGGATAATCAATGCTGGCATATGTTGCAGAGAGATCTAAAAGGCTATGAGGATGGGGAAAATGTACATTGGCTTTGATGAGTAATATGTTAGCATCGATCTAAAAGGAAGAAGTTTTAGATGAGTATAAAAGACAAAATACAGACTTCAGGATCTAAGGAGAAGATGGGTATTAAGGAAGCAAAGGAAACAATGTAGACCACTCATATAATAAATGTGGTAATTACAAGAACACTAATAGTTAGAGAAAAAGTAAGGGTCATTTGCCTCTCTTTCTTGTGGGTCTCTCCTGCTTTATAAAGCAGAGACCAGTATTATGATTCAGTCTTTTTTTTCCTACACTCAGGTGGCTGAGCACTGCTGAGAAAAATCAAGTAATCACATGGTCACTTTTTTTTTTTTATTAATTTGAGACAGTCTCACTCTGTCTGTCACTCACTCAGGCTGGAGTGCAGTGGCGCGATCTCTGCTCACTGCAGCCTCTGTCTCCTGGGTTCAAGTAATTCTCCTGCCTCAGCCTCCTGAGTAGCTGGGATTACAGGCACATGCCACCATGCTAGGCTAATTTTTGGATTTTTAGTAGAGACGGGGTTTCGCCATGTTGGCCAGGCTGGTCTCGAATTCCTGAACTCAAGTGATCCACCTGCCTCAGCTTCCCAATGTGTTGGTATTACAGGGGTGAGCCACTGTGTCTGGCCACTACAAATTTTTAATCTGCAAAATCAGCAGGCCCTCTGCAATCATTTTATCAAACTCAGATAGTTTCCTCTCCCATTTCCACAACAACTCTTGCAAACCTTAGACATTCTTCCCTAGCCTAGCCTCATACTGAACTCTGCTCCATGAAGTCTCAGCAAAGCATCTGGCCTCTTAAATCTTCAAGAGCACTAAGGCTATAAGGTATACTCTTTTCTATATATTCCACTTGCCCCCTTCTACTAAGTTAAATTTACCCACACCCTTCCTTATGCCCTTTCTCCCTGTCTCAGATGTTGAGGCTTCCACACTTCTGGCCAGGCATTCCCTTCATCTAAACCATTTTGTACTGCCTCTTCTGGGACCTTGCTCTACTAAGCAGTCCTCTTCCCATTGCATTCAGTTGCTTACTCTCTACTGTTTCCTTCTTCCTGTAGTTTATAAATATGCCATAAACCCTACCTTGAAATTAAATCTCCCTATAGCAGCTACCACCTAATCTCTATCTCATCCACAGAAGAGAAGCAGGCTCACTACTAAACCCACTATAATCTCACATCTATCATTCTACTACAGACTGTTCTTACTAGGATCACTAAAGACCAAATAAATGTCTACTAGATGTATATTATTAAGCCTCTATATTATTCTTAACTGCAGTTGAAACTGCTGACTTCTTCCTTTGTGAAACTCTCCAGTCTCCTGGTGTCTGTGATTCTACGCTTTCCTCATCTTACCCTGTCTCCGTTGTACTTCTCTCTTCTTCCCAACACCCTTGAAATGCTGATTATCTCTAGGGTTCTCTCCTTGGCCCACTCTTTTTCTCACTGAGCAATGTACCAGAGTTATCTCATTTGTCTGCATTATTTCAACGTTACCTATATGCTGATGACTTCCAAATTTAAATCTCCTGTCCAAACTTCCTTGAGCTTGAAATTGATAATCACCTGTAGAGAATATCCTATAGAGACTTTAAAGACAATATGTCCAGAATTAAGTCTTTTTTACATCCTAAACCCATGCATTTAACTATATTCTCTCAATTGATGGAATTACCACGTAGCCATTGAGCCAAGACAAAAATGTGGGAGTGATCCCAGTTTCTTTCCAACTTTGGTAGAATATATTGTTGTCCTGCTTTTATTCCTGCTGCCTTACCATTTCAGTGCATGCTGGCTTGACTTGCTAATGCCATTATCTGCATCTCTCTACATAGCAGAGCAAGAAGTGCCAGGGAATTAACCTCCCTTTTCTTTGACCCATGACTGAGAGTAGGCTTATAAACATCCTGCCTCCATTCCCCTTAGGTGGGATGTGTTTACATATAAGACATGTTTTTAATAATTTCAACATTTATTTTAGATTCAGGAGGTAGACACGCAAGTTTGTTACATAAGCATATTGCGTGATGCTGAGGTTTGGGGTGTAACTGATCCCATCATCTAGATAGTGAGTACAGTGTTCTCTACTGCCTTAGCAAGTTCCTCAGCAGGATTAAGTGCCAGTTGCCCACACTGGTAATTTGCTTGAAAATATGCCGTTTATTTGCTGAATTTCCTCCTCTGTTTTACTTTCTTATTTTTTGTGCTTGCATTTTCTTCCTTTCCAAACCAAATTACTTAAATTCTGATCTCAGGTTCTGCTTCTAAAAAAACCCAAAGACACCAGCGTTTAAGTGAATATGTAATCAAACACTTGATTTGAGTTGGTAACTGTGTCCCAATTCCATTCACATCATTTCCACCATTTTGTACTTTCCTCATTTATTGCCTGGGCTATTCTAAAGGCCTCCTATTCATTCCTCTGTTTCTAAGCCTGTCTACCTCAAATCCATCCTCTACACTGCTGAAAGAGTGAGGTATTTATAAAGCAGTCCTCCTGTGTCTCTGTTGGCTGAAACCTTTCAATATCTCCCATCACCTACAAGATACAGCTCAAACACTGATGATGAAATTAATATTAATTAAGATCTAGTCCTACCTACATTTTTAGCCTTGTTTATCCTACTTCTCCATGTTTTATTCCAGCAACACCAATTGAATTGATATCTCACTCTCTCTCACCTCAGTGTTATCCCATCTCTCTAGATAACCAGATCTCACCTCTCTCCTATCCTATCCTATCTAGAAAGTTTCACCAGATCTCACCTCTCTCCTATCCTATCCTATCTAGAAAGTTTCAAACAAACAACCCCATCAACAAGTGGGCAAAGGATATGAACAGACATTTCTCAAAAGAAGACATATATGCAGCCAACAGACACATGAAAAAATGCTCATCATCACTGGCCATCAGAGAAATGCAAATAAAAACCACAATGAGATACCATCTCACACCAGTTAGAATGGTGATCATTAAAAAGTCAGGAAAAAACAGGTGCTGGAGAGGATGTGGAGAAATAGGAACACTTTTACACTGTTGGTGGGACTGTAAGCTAGTTCAACCATTGTGGAAGACAGTGTGGCGATTCCTCAGGGATCTAGAAGTAGAAATACCATTTGACCCAGCCATCCCATTACTGGGTATATACCCAAAGGATTATAAATTATGCTGCTATAAAGACACATGCACATGTATGTTTATTGTGGCACTATTCACAATAGCAAAGACTTGGAACCAACCCAAATGTCCATCAATGATAGACTGGATTAAGAAAATGTGGCGCATTTTCTTAATGGAAAATGTGAATTTTATGGAATTCACCATGGAATACTATGCAGCCATAAAAAGGATGAGTTCATGTCCTTTGTAGGGACATGGATGAAGCTGGAAACCATCATTCTCAGCAAACTATCACAAGGACAAAAAATCAAACACCGCATGTTCTCACTCATAGGTGGGAATTGAACAATGAGAACACTTGGACACAGGAAGGGGAACATCACACACCAGGGCCTGTTGTGGGGTTGGGGGGAGTGGGGAGGGATAGCATTAGGAGATATACCTAATGTAAATGATGAGTTAATGGGTGCAGCACACCAACATGGCACATGTATACATATGTAGCAAACCTGCATGTTGTGGACATGTACCCTAGAACTTAAAGTATAATAAAATATATATATATATAAAAGAAAGTTTCCCTAACCTATACCTCATGCCACCATCCTTAAAATCTTAGCTCAATATATCCTTATGCAAAAATCATTTTCTAACTGTCCAACAAAAGGCTAAACACCACATCCTTTCACATTATTGTCCACATATATCTATTATTTGCACATCAGATAATAATTTTCTATTTACACCTGGATTATTACAATTGTCTCCATATAGATCTCCATGCCTTGAATGTCTTCCTCTTTTGAATCCACATGACACATTTCTACGATTACTAAATTTACAAAAAAAAAAAAAAAAAAAAACAAACAAATAGGAAGCCCCAGGCAAACTCACTATATAACTAACCCCTTCTCCAGTCACTCCATTCTGATCTTTGGTTCAGGACGTAGCAAACTAAATTACTTTTCTCACTGCATGCCATGGTGCAAGGCTCTGTTATGCTTCTATGCATTTGTACATGCTTCTGACTGGAATGGATAGACCCACCTACTAATCCATCAAGTTTATCTCAAACATTACTGCTCTATGGTACTTTCTCCCATCTTTCCCCATCCCTTCTTGTTAGCAATCTCTTCTAATGGCATCTCTTGGCACTTGGCAAATATTCCCCTTATAACATTCACTATACTTCCTTGTAATGATTTGTAAGTGCCTTACAGGCTGTTCTTTCTCATCTCAGCTCTGTATCTCATACACAGTAAATGCCCAGTAAAGAACTGTTGAGAATGAATGAATGAATGAATGAACGAACAAATTAATGGGAAGAA
The DNA here is from genome assembly GCF_000001405.40 of Homo sapiens. Lineage (NCBI taxonomy): Eukaryota > Metazoa > Chordata > Mammalia > Primates > Hominidae > Homo > Homo sapiens. Next base: position 117,884,036 of record NC_000003.12, read on the forward strand.
TAATTAGTTTTTAATCAAACTAAAGACAATCACAGAGAGGCAATTCTTTGCTTGCAATGTGGCTGAGCCTTAGAAGCATTTCTCATATTAAAAACTGGAGAGTAAATCTGAAAACAAAAGATAGAAAAGAAAAAAAAATAGAGGCTAGAAATGAAGAAACAGAAGGAAACAGAGTGGGGAAGGCAGGTGAAACAGGCAATGGGGAAGATTGATGGCATAATCTACTTCCACATAGGATCCTCATATGTGGCTTCAGCTCAGCATACACGTGATTATCATAACTCCAGCAATGGGAGATTAAGCCTCAATTCCCCTCAGCAGGGCTTTCCCATCACACATGTCTTTCCTACTGCCACTAGGGATTTAAACTACCAGCCATAAGAAGCTACACATTATATTAACTCACAGAAAGAGAAAGAAGCAAAGGCAATAACAGAATTACACCTTCAGGGTCCCTGGTGAAAGGGGTATTCTCCAAAATAAAGCTAATTATTTAAATGATGGCAGTCAGTCACTGGCTGGTCATTGCAGTGGCCATATGTATGGTAATGTATTGTAGCCCCTCTGTTGGATGAGTTTTCATGCTCTGAACATCTGCCTACTGCAAGCAAGAATATGTTCTATTTAGCCTGAGAAGAGTATCATATGCACAGAATTACCCAGAACTAGAAATTCAGTAATACAAGCCAATTATTTAGGCATTGCAAGAAAGGGGTGTTGGGGTTTCGAAAGATCACTCAGTTGACAAAAATAAGATACAGATTTAACTCAAATACTGATGTGTGGGTCAAATCTGAAGCCCAGTGGTAGATAGCTGTGAAAATGTCTAGTATGCTAATAATCAGGCCACAGTGAAATGGTGTCATTACTCCTTCTCATTATCTTCCCCTGTCCCTTTACTTCATTCTCCTGTCTCTCAATGAGAATGTCAATAAACCTCACTGGAGTTAAACACTGGAAGTATCTAATTTCTCCCCGGCAAGTTCTCAGGTTCTCTTTTCTCACAGATTTTTCATTAAAAATAGGGTAATAAATGAGAGTCTTGGAAGACATAAGGAAATCTGTCTAGTAACTTTCATTAATCAAAAAGCAAGAACATAATTTACTCATTCCCCTGAGTGACATGTTTTTGCTCCATCGCATGGCTCACTTCCTCTTCTCCCTCCCCCTGCTGGTTTCCTGTCTCTCTCTATCCCCCTATTATAAGGACAACAATTTCCTCAGAGCCGTCAAACACATCAAACCTTGGTAACAGCCTGCACAAGGATGTTTCTTAAAAGGCAACGTCTGAATATGACAAATGACATTAGCCCCGTGTTTGGCAGGGTCACAGCCAAAGCCAAGACTGATATTTACAGTATACTTTATAAAACCACAAACATGTTCCTAAGTCCTATGGGATGTCATGTCACACGGAACATATATAATTAATCTTCTATTGTGACATTTACCACCTTTCTCCTCAGGCAGGCCTCTCCCAGAGATAGTTAAGTAGCCACTGCCAGAGCTGCCACCTACCAGCAATAGTCGTGTGGGTGTTTTAGGGTCTGGCACCAATACAGCATCAGACCTATGCAGCAAGAGCATTTAGTACTCAGCCTTGAAAAAAGACTCAAACTTAACAGGTGATGCAGCGAAATATTTCCCTAGTGGAATAAAACTTTCAATGCTTGGAAGGGGTGCTGGCCTTGGAGAATTGGCTGCTATCAGTTTTGGACATTATATAAATTTGCCTTAATTTAGCTCTAACATGACACTATATTTCAAGGCTTGAATACACTGATATTGCAGAAGTGGAAGTTTCAAAACTGGATACTATCAGTTTCAATCTTTACAATACCTGAATCAAGGCAGGGCCAGCAAAATGATTTGAATGGCTAAATAATAAAGTTTACTGAAAAATGTTAAAAGCTAGATTTCTATAGTAAGTATATACATACATACATGTATGTATGTATACACACACCCACACACACTTGTGTCACATATGTGTGTGTATATATATGTATGTATATAAAGATACATGTATATATATAAATATATGTATATATTTATGTATGTGTATATATGTATATATATTTATATATGTGTATATATGTATATATATTAATATATATGTGTGTATATATATGTATATATATATATATATATATTATATCCAAGATTCCAGTTCTAAGTACTATTCTTCCTCTATGGCTAGTGCCCAAGCAGAAGTCCAAGGCCAGACATCTACATGTCCCAAGATTCTCTGTCCAGCAGTGGGAAGACCACGTAACTGAGGGCAGATTTCCAAATTCCAACATTATCACAGCACTGAAAACTGTTACACTTGGTCAGCTAGGCAAGTGCAGTTGTTAATCCCAGACTGAGCAATTGCCTAAGCAGCAAGTCCGACACACATTAAGATTGGCATATCCTTATGACACCCCTCCATGAATACACACAGAAATCTCAATTTTCATATGCTAGCTTTAACTCCATCGTTTTCTCTAATAGTCAAGAAATCAAATCAGTGAGCTGGAGTGTTTAGTGGAAATATGGTTGTTCCTTTCTACTGAATATAAAATTAAATAATTCACATGTTAGTATTTCATTATGAATAACAAGATAATCACAACACAATTGACAACTCATGAACAGACTTTAGGATATCAAAACCCTATGGTTGAGCCATGCTTCACAAGATAATCATACCATACGCCTTCTATGCCAGACATAGTGCTAAGAACTTTACGTATTACATTTAATCATGATCACAGTCAGAAATATTAGATTATGTACCCAAGCTCATACAACTGGCAAAGTTTTGGATCCAGGATTTTAAAGCAGATTCTTCCTACTGCAAAGACCATGATCAACCACTATCCTATTTATAATGACTCTCCGCCTCAATCTTCACCTCAAAATCTTGGGTGCTCCCCAGTGGCAAGATCAAGGTCCTGCTAACTATGACTACAACCTTATTTATAGTCTTACTTACTCCCCGTACTCTAAGACTCAGGTCAAATGAATCCTCTTGGCAACTTCTCTGAAAATTCGACACAAGTTATTGTTCTCCTCTAGTGCAGTGAGAGCTTCTACCCTCCTCTACTCTACTGCTCCTTCATCAGGGCAATTTTTCTCCCCAGGGAGTTATCTGGCAATGTCTGAAGATATCTTCAGTTGTCACAACTGCGGTAATCCTACTAGTATCTAGTGGGAAGAAGCTCCAGTTGCTTGCTAAACATACTCAATGCACAGGAAAGCCTCTTACAACAAATAATGACCCATCCTGTCTCAATAGTGTGAGGTCGAGAAACCCTGGTGTATATGATAATCATCTTTGTAACTTCCTTAAGGAATTTAACACTTTTCATCTTGCATTACATAATATACAGAATATTCTCAGAGGTAAGAGGCTATGTCTTACACAATTTTATATTACATATCCTTTTCCTTTTCAAGAGTGACTTACTGTTCTAAGTAACTAATAGGTGTTCATTAAGTGTTGGGGACCGTATGATTGATGAACAGTCTACAGACAGTTGACTCTTTAGGGTAAATTCTGAAAGACACATTGGAAGAGTTGTGTGAAACAGTGACTGCATCATAGAATCCTGTAGATATGAGGTGGCCAACATATCAGATGAACAACAATCTCATTTTAAATGCATGGATGACGAAGACCAGAGAAGCAAAATGAATTGACTAAGGTCACAGGGCAAGGGCCGCTTTCTTAGTCCTTAGACTGGGCTATATATTAAACAAAGCCAACACTATATAAGAAAAGGATCAAAAGCAGAAAATATCTCTTAAATAAGTAAAATTTCTCTTTTCTCAGGAGAATGAAAATCTCCTCATGACATGTGTTAAGTACGTGAGTTGTTTTTTCTTTTTTTAATCATAAACACGCTATGCATCAGTGCTTCCTCTAATCATACTGTCAGTGGTGATCAATGCCTTTTACAGAGATTTGTGGAAACCACAAAGAGTCAAACGTTGCTAGTATGGAGATAAATGTCCTTGAAGGCTCTCAGCCTTAGCTCACCACTAAATGCCTCCTTGGAGGATGCTTTATTTTATCCCCACGTTATTACTGAAACAAGGCAGTGGTGCAGTTCTGACTCAGAAAAGTGTCCAGGGTACTATGTCAAGACCTTAGTTTATGACTCGTATGAAAGACAGCTCCATCCTGAATTTTCTTTCTTGTCATCTGTTGTCCCAGTCCTGGTGATTCCTCATCCAATTAGTTCATGAGTTCTCTGAGCTAACCCTGTGGACAACTCTTTTGTTATTTAAAAATAACAGCAACAAAACAACATAATTTAAAACTTGATACAGAGGTTGTGCTCTCTGTTAAAAATTATGTGCCTCATTCTTGGGGCTGACCCAGTTCACCCACTTCTGTTAATAACTAGCTCACAACTGCTCACAAAATCACTTCTTAGTAGTATGAAACTCTCACAGTGTGGCTGGGTATGTGCTCCAGCAAAAGAGACCCAAAGGCTTAACACGTCTGACTTCAAAAGGAATAGTCTGCTGCTGCATCCTCAATAGGTTGTGCTCAGCTGAGAGAACCCAAGCAGAAGATAATGCCACACTAGTCCAAGATTAAGGCAAAGTGCACTGTGTGCCAATAACTAAGCACAGTCACAATAATGGAGCAAGAATAAACCTGCCATTTGGACACAGTTATCCTGAGTCTCCAGATCTTTCTTCAGATAGTACACCAGAGGCCTCATGAGTTACATGAACAGAACTTTTACTAGTGGAATCCCCACTTCGGGGCACACACACAAAATGGAAATGTTATCTTTTCTTATTCAAGACAGAACTGTTTCCTCTTCTCAACCCAGCTACTAATCCACATGTCAGCATCTGTGCTGCATAACACATTTCCACATGTTGTCCCCATCGCAGGGTCTTCTATTTAACCCCATCCTTTCCTACATGAAAGAAAATCTTCACATAAATATTAATGAGTGTTAGACCCATGAGCAGAAAGGGATGACTCTCTCAGCATTTCATAATGATTGCACTTCTCTCCTTCTTCAAAAGCCACAATTAAATCCCAGAGGGAAAATTATCTTCTGTGGATAATGCAAACACTGTTGTTTTAATATATGCACAGATTCATAATGATATTACTGTTATTAATAGTGACAATAATGAATAAATTTGCTACTAGAAAATAAGTAGGTAGCCCAGATTTTATAACCCTATTAAATATCTCTGTATTTTATATGTTGCATATTATTTTTTTATGAGATGACCTGAGTCACATATGCACTTTTATAGCTTCCTAGAGATACAAGAAAATGGAGCTATAACTTTTCATTTTCTCTCTATCATGTGTGATGTGTATAAGAAATATGCATATGTATCAAAAAAAGAAAGCTGTATTTTACCTCAGCTCTTTGATCTGGGGGGTAGAGATTATTTTCCATATGATTATATTCAAAACAGTCATATTTTTCCCATACACATTTAAATAAGAAGGAAAGAAATTAGCCACCAAAATCACTCACAAAAAAAATAAGAAAGAAAAAAAATCATCCACCAAAATAGAGCTCTCCACTTACAATGTATTGTTTCTCAAGTGACTTTTGTCATTGGATACTCCAAATAGGGGAGTCCAAAAATAACAGCACGTAATATTACAAGGCTTCAGAGTTCTGAAATCACAGTCTGAGTCAACTTTTTTAGGGTATTCAGAAATTTTGAGTGGCACTCACTTTGATGTGATCCCCAAACAGCCTTAATAATCTATTAAACTTCCTTGCTATATAAGAGATCATCAAAGAGATCAGGACAAGAAGAAACAGAATAACAAAACAGTATAAGGAAGAGAATAAAATGGAAAAAGAACATAGTTGTACAGATACTTGACATTTTTTAAAAGGCAGTTATTCATTGTCTCAAAGGCACTGAAGAATCAAAACCATTGTCTGATTGATATTATATCAAAACATAAATTTGCCAACAATCCAATTGTTTTATCATCTTCTGTGCAATAATACAGCATGAAAGAATGGAAAATGCATTTATGATATTCTCAACTTGATGAGCAACTTACTGTACAAGTTGTCTATTCTTAGTTATCGTAACACTTGCTAAGTCAAAAAATCAGGTAGGATTTGGCCTTTTTCCTGTTCATTATAAGCAATTCTTGATGTTTTCTACTGGCCGGAGTGTATAGACTTTGCTTTCTGGCCATTGGATCAAGTCTGGGACCAGCATTTGAGGGGCGCACCAAAATGAGCTTCAGTGTTAGGAAGAGCCTGCACAGAAAGTTAGTTGTGCAGGGAATACACAAGGCTAGACAATCCTGAGGTCTTCAAGTGTTGTGTGGTCCCCTTTGACACTTCCCAGTGGTGCTCTGAAAGGCTTATCCCAATGGGCTTCAAAGTTTTTATTACATTAGAATCATCTGGAAGGTTTGTTAAAGCACAGATTGCTGGGCCTCACCCCCAGAGCTTCTGAGTTGGTAAGCCTGAGGTGGCCTAAGAATTTGCATTTCTGATGAGGTGTTAGAATGCCCATGCTTCTGGTCTGAGAAATATGTTTTGCAAATCATTATTCTATTCAATTACATACAGATTTCCAGGACAATCTTGTCCTGGGTTCCACAAAAATCAATTTCCATCTTCATGTTTAAAATATAATGCCGCCACAATTTGGAATTAAAAATTAAACATTTAAGGAGTTACGTATTCTCTGCTTGACATCATTCAAATTTTTAGAAGTATTTAAATTCATTGATATGGATACACACAACTAGAGATGGCCTTTTGCTAAAGAACATTTAATTCCACTGACAGATAAAAGGAAATATGGGGGATAGCCTCATCCTTTAAAATGTCAGTTTCTTTTTACATTGAAGAAATATTATGACTGGTGTACAGAAAAAATAGATTATAGCTTTCACATAGTTTGGTTTTTAACAGTTTTGCAAAGCCTTTCTTCCAATGTTATTTTATCCAACAAATATTTTATTAAATGTCAGCCTACAAAAGGCCTACTGTATGCATGGCACTCTGTCAGCCCCTTTGTAATATTTAAAAAATAAATAAATAGCAAGTTTCTGACTTAGAGAAAAGTTACACACACACACAAACACAACATCACAGCATATAATAAGGTGAAAGATGAAACTTTACACAGGAAGATTGCCCTTTTTAGGAAAGCTCTGGCTTTTTTTATTTTATAGAATAGTGCTCTTCATCAATGGATCAGATGTTGAATTTGCAAATACTCTCAACCTATGTCTTTCATTCTATTCAGTGCTGTTATTTATCTTTTTAGCTTTCCCTTCTGTCTTAGTCCATTTGGGTTGCCATAACAAAATACCATAAACTAGGTGGTTTATAAACAGCAAACATTTATTTTTCAGAGTTTTAGAAGCTGGGAAGTTCAAGATGAAGGCACTGGCAGATTCGGTGTCTGCTGAGGGCCTGTTCCTTATAGACATTACCTTCCAGATGTGTACTCAAATAATGGAAGGGTGCTAATACTATTCATAGGAGATCTGCCCTCATGATCTAATCACCTCCCAAAGGTCCCACTTCCTAATATCATTACATTGGGATTAGGTTTCAACATACAAATTTTAGGGGGACACAATCATGATAGCACTTTCTAACATAATTATCCTAATTATCCTATTCCTTTGACATTTAACTCAACTAACATTTAATACGCATACTTAGATGACAGCCATTTTGTCTGGCAATGGGGAGAAAAAGTGGATTGGTCTACATGGTATCTCCCTAAAGCTACTTATAGTCTAATGGGAGAGAGGAACAAATAAAAAGGCATTCATGCTATGGGGAGTAAGCACTAAGACTAGAGAGAGGCAGCTGGACCAGACATGGTAAGGTTTTCTGAGTTTCCTAATACTTGAGGTGAATCTTGAATTTAAAGTAGGAGGGGCCAGACAACAAGGTTGTAATGAAGTAGAGGGAACAGCATGCCAAATGGTCTCACATCATAGTGGAACATATTGTGTTTATTAAGAAAATTTAAATTGTTCAGTATTGATTGAAAGAAAAAAGTGTGAAGAAACAATATAAAAATAATCAGCCAAATGGGACATCAAGCCCCAAAAGAGGAGTTTCCAAGTCATCTTAAGGAGCTTGGGTTTTACACGAAGGGTTGAAATCCATTAACTTAGTTTAAGAAGATAATGGCAGGATAAGTTTTGTTTCCGCAGAAACAATCTTGCATTTTCTAAATTGTAACCATCGTTTCAGTTTTCTGAATATTCTGTACCTTTTTGGATGCCTACCTGAAGCAAGCAAACTAAAAGTGATGAAAATAATTGATACCTTTAACTAGCCATTCACATGATATGATTTACAAAGTCAAATGTGTAGATGTTCAATGGCCACTGGGTGACTGATTCTGTTTCTCCATTTCTATTGGGGTGTTTGGTGAGGCATAGCCTCCAGTTGAGTCCCAGGACTGGACCTATCAGTCCAGCCAAGGCCTGAGTCATGTTGACTATTTCAAAAGGGCTGTTCTCATTCCTTTCTCACAGTTACAGATTTGCTTTTTACCACTCCTCCAGAAGGAAAAAAAAATGCTGACTGGTGGCCTACTTGTTACCCACTGTGGCCTCTCTAAATTTTTCTACCCAAGCTGCACAAAGCTGTGATAGTGTTGCTCATTCTTATAGTCTTACACTCAGAATTCCCTCCACACGACTGTGCTCTTTGTTCTTTCTGCACATTATTCGGCTGATGTCTGATCGCTGTCCAAATCCTCAATCATCTGGAATTTTCACTCTTTGCTTTAGGATATAGCTCATCAATGCCTTACTGTGCTGGCTTCTCACATTATTTTCATTTGATGGTTGTTCTGCACTCTTTATTTCCTACCTCTAATTTTCACCAAATTAAATTCAATAAATATATTTTCTTAATGTTTGGAACTTTGTACTAAAAACATGATAAAGGTGTTTTGAGTATAGACCTTAAAAGTAAAGCAAAAAAGGGAACTAAAATCATCTGAACTTTAATGCCTTTTTCCTTTTTTTAAAGAAAATTTAAAAATGAATACCTGTACTGTTCTATAATATCTTTGAAAGAAGCAACTTAATAAAAAATCAGAGTGCTTCTAGTTAATTTAACTCCCTCCAGACCCACATTCCTTCCAAATTGCACACTTCAAAACTACAGAGCCAAAGAACTTTAGATGCCCTCTGAGAATGCCTGAGGAGAAGGGGGAAAAAGATCCATGAAAGAAAATGAAAGTAAAAGCTAATTTATGGAGAGAAAAGGGAAAATGGTGAGGAAGTTTCAATTAATCTGTGATTGATTTAACACTTAAGAACAATTGTTAAGAAAAAAAGCAATATTAGCATTTAATTAATTATTTAGAAGCTATTTAAAGGAACATATTGTATAGTGTATTAAACCTATAGCCCATATGAAGAATGGATTGAAACTTGATAGGAGATTACTAGCTTGAAAAATGAAAGGTTGATGTACCATAGGGACAATCCCATTCTAAGCTTAAAAACATGGGAATACAAACACATGAAGGAGAAAGGGTTACAGACTGTTAAACTGACAAAATTTTAGATACCTGGACAGCCTGAAGTCATTGACACCTAGACTTTGTGATTATAAAGAGTCTAAAGTGCTCTACTGATTACCTCTGAAATAATAGACCTTCCGGATTTTTGTTCCTAGACAAAAGGGTGACTCTAATTTATATAGACATTGTAATATTTAAACAAATCTAACCCAGGATGTGGTTTCATAGGAACCAGAGTAATTACGGAAACTATTTGTCAAAGAGTAACTGACAGGCCAAGTGATGAATGGAATCTAAGGCAGGATGACAGTACTCTCCTGTAATTCCACAGAGCATGATTCCAACAGTTGCTGTTGTCACTTTTGCTTGTTGGGAAGCTTGTTCTGTATATGTGCATGTAAAGGTGTTAAAACCATCAAAGCCTCTCTCTGATATTTTGTTGTTGTTTTTACTTATATTCATGATGAGGGAAGGAGAGAAAACAAAAAAAACATATCTTTGCAAGTTAGTGTTAATGTTAGGTACAAGAAAGTGCATGAATGCCTGTTCCCCACACTCCGCACACCCAAACCTACACTCTCTGCCTGCTAGATTCTGTCACTCTCTATGGCTTCCAGGACATACTGCTTATATGCACAGTACTATAAATTTGAGAAAGTCCATTCTGCAGCTTTGTTCTAATCCAACCTCATGTCTCTTCATGTGGAAGTCATCATTGTGACTCTGAAACAATATACTTTCTCTCTCCTGCTATGTTAAATTCACTACCCATCTAGCCATCTTTGCTCTTAATAGCATCAGTCTCCAACCACATAATGATACAGGTTCTGTTTTAAATATTTTACACATAATCTCATTGATTATAAATATCATATAAATTGAGGCTGCTATTTTCATTTTTCAGATGAGGAAACAAAGGCTGAAGTATGTTAAGTAACTTGCCCAAGGTCTAAGAATTAAGAAGTTGTGAAGCCAGGACTGTAATGTAGGTCTCTGCTTCTACAATCTGAATTCTAAACACTGCTAATCAACAACTGCTTTGCCTCAAGGAGTAGAGAAGCTGCTAATGTCAGCATTGTTGCATTTTAGTGTTAATCCACCTTATCACTGGTTCAGAATTAGACTAAATCCAAACCCATATTCCCCTGTTGATGATATGAAACGGTCACTGTTTTTTTTTTTCTTTCTTACCCATCAATGGACATTTTGTACTATAAAGTATATGCCATGCAAATTAGATGGAGAAGCAGAAAGCAGGCTATTAGACCCTAGGGTTATCATTTTGGGAAAGAATTGAGGAAAATATGCAAAGGAACATGAAATGCTTTCTTCCTTCCCATGACTTTATATAGAGGCTTGGATGAATTTTAAACACATATATTAAGATTTAAGGATTAAACACTTAGTGATGGAAGTTCTTTTAAACTCTAAACCGAAAGCCTTCAACTTTGCAAGATAAGGGTTAAAGAAAATTAAAAGGACATTTTGCTGAAGGCTGGTGGAAAGAAGGATCTAACTACAGCTGCTGGTGGTTCTCTTTTTAGGCTGACCTTCTTCTGCCTCCTGGGGGGATATATTAGCATGTCCAGAAACTGCATGCCCATGAAATATTTGAAAATTTGCTAACTGTAGAAAGCTTACCAAAAGGTACACGTGCTATCCCTGTTGCTGTCAGTTAAAATGTAATCAATAAAAACTACAGGGCCAGCCTTTCCCCAAAGCAAAAATGTCCTGCTGAAGTACTGTCTTCTAAATATCTTTTTAATTTCTGATGGCACTACAGCTATCCTCATTCTTTGGGGTTTTATACTTTACCACATATGTCTATTTAAGGTCAAGCCATGGCATCTCTTTTAGGTTCATGTCTTACAACTTGTTGCATATATGAATCACATACAATGTGCTACAATGGAAGAATCATGATCTTTAGAGTCTGGTCCAAATCCAAGTCTCATGCTTATCAGTTACATATAATTAACCTCGCTGATGTTTAGTTTCTTAGCTATAAAATGGTGAATATAACAAAACCTCCTAGGTTTATCATGAAGATTATAAGTGAGATAATACTTAAAATATATTTAATACATTGCCTAGTACATTGTGAACTCTTAACAAATGGTAGTGGACATTATTATCATACGTGAAGACCATTTATAGTAAGCATTCATTTAATTCCTATCTTGTCATTATTAGAATGGCTAGATTCACCTTACTCACAAATGACACAAGCACATCTAATTTACTTCAGTTTCTTCTCTTTGTCTTTAGTATAATCTATTCCCCAGCCAAGAAAGTTATTCTATACACTGCTACATGAAATTTTTCTCAAGCGTTTCCTACTAAAGACCCCCCAAGGGACTTAAGAACATCTTAGAAACCCTATGACATTCAAATTAAATATAAATTGATCTGCTCTTCACTAATTCACCTGTTCTACCTGTCCTACCAAACTCTTTTCTTAGCTTTCACAGACATTTGATAATAGGAGAGCCAGGTTATCCCACTATCTGAGGCATGATTTACCTATCACACCTGGAAGTTTATGAAGTTTTTATTCTATCTCACCCTAACCAGAAAACCACATTATGTTACTGTCAATTCATGTTTCTCTCCTTTTACAAAACCATTCATGCTTCCTTGATGGCTTCAAATTAACACCACTCAGTGCTGATGAGATTTCTCAATCTACAGCCACTCAAAGTGTTTGCTTTCGGTTTGCTTTTTACTTGTGTGTTTATATTCCTTTCCTTAGAAAATTTATTCATTATTTGTTTACCCTTGATGCTAATACATTCTATGAAGCAAGGTAACAAACATTTTATATGCTGTCTTTGCCAAAGCTGGTGAAGATATCAGGATACCAGAATAAACGTTCATAGATGACTACACCACAGGCATAACTCCTTTTATTGTGTTTTCTTTATTGCGTGTCATAGATACTACTTTTTTTTACAAATTGAAGGTCTGTGGCAATCTTGCATGCAGCAAGTCTATGGGTACTGTTTTTCCAATAGCATGTGCTCACTCTGTGTCTCTGCATCACATTTTTGTAATTCTCACGTTATTTCAAACTTTTAAAATATTATTATATCTACTATTGTGATCTGTGATCATTGATCTCTGATATTACTATTGTAATTGATTTGGGGTGCCATGAAATGCACCCATATAGAATAGGGAGCTTAATTAATAAATGTCTGTGTTCTCACTGCTCAATGGACGGGCCATTCTCTCATCTCTCTCCCTCTCCTCAGGTTTCCCTATTCCCTAAGACACAACAGTATTGAAACTAGGTGAATATTAACCCTACACTGGGCTCTAAGTGTTCAAGTGAAAGAAAGAGTAGTATGTCTCTCACTTTAAATCAAAAGCTATAAATGATTAAGCTTAGTGAGGAAGACATGTCAAAAGGAGAGAGAGGATGAAAGCTAGGCCTCTGATGCCACACAGCCAAGTTATGAATGCAAAACAAAAGTTCTTGAAGGAAATTTAAAGTGCTACTCCAGTAAGCACACAAATGATAAGAAGGCAAAACAGCCTTATTGCTGATACAGGGGAAGTTTAGGTGGCTTGGGTAGAATCAAACCAGCCACAACATTCTCTTAAGGAACACCTAATTCAGAGCAAGGCCCTAACTCTACTCAATTATATAAGGGCTGGGAGAAGTGGGAAAACTTCAGAAGAAAAGTTTGCAGCTAGCAGAGATTGGTTCATGAGGTTTAAGGAATGAATCTGCCTCTACAACATAAAAGTACAAGGTAAAACAGCAAGTGCTGATGTAGAAGCTGCAACAAATTATCTACAAGATACAGCTAAGATCATTGATGAAGATGGCTACACTCAACAACAGATTTTGAATGTAGACAAAACAGCCTTTTTCAGAAGAAAATGCCATCTAGAGCTTTCACAGCCAGAGTCTGGCTTCAAAGGACAGACTGAATCTCTTGTTAGAGGCAAATGCAGCTGGCAAATTTTAGTTAAAGCCAATGCTAATTTACCATTGCAAAAATTCTAAGACCCTTAAGAATTCTGCTAAATTTACTCTGCCTATGCTCTAGAAATGGAACAACAAAGCCTGGATGATGGCACATCCGTTTACAGCATGATTTGCTAAATATTTTATACCCATTGTTGAGACCTACTGCTCAGAAATGATTCCTTCCAAAAGATTACTGCTCATTAACAGTACACCTGTTCATTTTAGAGCTCTGATGGAAGTGTACAAGGAGACTAATGTTGTTTTATTCCCTGCTAGCACAACAGCCCATGGACCAAGGAGCAATTGCAACTTTCAGGACTTATAATTTCAGAAATACATTTAGTAAAGCTATAGCTGCCATAGTTAGTGATTCCTCTAATAGAACTTGGCAAAGTAAATTTAAAACCTTCTGGAAAGGATTCACCATTCCAGATGCCATTAGGAACATTTGTGATTCGTGGTCAGATGTCAAAATATCAACATTAACAGGTGTTTGGAAGAAGTTGATTCCAACCCTTTTAGATAACTTTGAGTGGTCCAAGACTTCAGTGGAGGGAGTGTCTGCCTATGTGGTAGAAATTGCAAAATAACTGGAATTAGAAATGGAACCTGAAGGTGTGACTGAATGCCTGCAATCTCATGATAAAACTTGAACAGAACAGATGAGAAGTTGCTTCTTATGAATGAGTAAAGAAAGTGGTTTCTTGAAATGGAATCTACTCTGGGTGAAGATGCTGTGAACATTTTTGAAATGACAACAAAGCATTTAAAACATTACACAAACTTAGTTGATAAAACAGAATCAGGGGTTGTGAGAACTGACTCTAATTTTGGAAAACGCTCTACTGTGGGTAAAAAATGCTATCAAATAGCATTGCAAGCTCTAGAGAAGCCTTTCCTGAAAAGAAGGGTCAATCTATGTAGCAAACTTCTTTGATGTCTTATTTTAAGAAATTGCCACAGCCACCCCAACCTTCAGCAACCACCACCCTGATCAACCGGCAGCCATCAATATAGAGGCAACACCCTCCATAAGCAAAAAGATTACAATTTGCTGAAGGCTCATATAAATGTTAGCATTCTTTAGCAATTTTTTCAATAAAGTATTTTTAAATTAAGATATGTATACTGTTTTTTGGACATAATGCTATTGCACACTTAATACACTATAGTATAAATATAATTTTTATATGCACTGAGAAACTAAAAATTTCACGAGTCAATTTATTGTGATATTTTCTTTAATGCAGTGGTCTGAAACCAAACCTACAATATCTCTAAGATATGCCTGTATTTAATAGTGTGGCCGATATCAGAGAGAGAATGTACCTGTATGACTGTTTTTCTTCATCTATGCCTCACGCTATTAATGTTTTCACCCCCTACTGGAAAGAGCTGGAATTGAAGGGACTCTGATCCTATTTCTCAGGTTCTTAGGGAAATAAACCCTAGCACTGACTGCCTGAAAGGCAGCTCATTCACTGATGTTCAGGACTTAAATAATAGTAGAGTTCCTTTTTTCTCTCTCTCTTTCATTCCTTTCTTTCTGAAAATGTTGCTATGGTAACCGCACTGGGTTTTCATTCTCTGTCTTCATCATGCTTCTGCTTAGAAGCCCTGGAGAGAGAAACATTGATCAGTGATGCAATAAGACAGCCTCTGGGGAGAGAGGAAGGCCATCAAGGGGAGTATGTATTCTTAGGACACTGGATCACAACTACTCTTTCAGCAAAGACAGGTCGATTTGACCATCCTTTAGGGGGATTTAATTAAAAACCATTCTAGGCCAGCCTGTATGCAGCACAGTAGCAACATGGATCACCAGCATCTAATAGTGGCATGTCAAAGAAGGCAAGGGTTACTCAGAAATGGCCCACACATATTAAAGGTTTCTGCTGTGGGCCGCTGTCAAGCAAGAAATTCATTTAGTGCTCATCCTTTTAGCCAGGGAGATTTACTGCCCATGGGTTGAATTCACTTTTCATGTTATTAGATCACTAGGGACCAGGAAGGTTTCTCTCCCCTCCATCCTATGGCTTTCCCAGTGGAAGGGGCTTCTACATAGTTTCACCCACGTATTAAAGGAAGCACACAGGCTGAGGAAATTGTGAATTGTACTTTCAAGGTACTCTCGTTCCACTGCAGCAATGACTACTGATAGTATTTGCGGTGATGTCTTTTTACATGTGACTTTACAGATACCAGTTTATTTTTAATTTTTCCCCACATTTTCATTTTCTCATATATTAGGGGGAGGTAAAGAGATTTGGGAGCCTGAAGGTATTCTAAAAAGCCGCCTGTGAATACCTCATACATGTCAGTGGTGGGCTTCTGGTTTCCACTTGGAAAATATTCCTGCCCACTTACCAGGATTCTAATGTTTTTTTGGGAGTGAACTGTGCCAGGTTTTAAGATGTCTGGCAAGTGAGGAAGGTACTCTGAGAATATAGGACTTGGTGGCCATATACAGTTCTCTCATTTACACTGTCAAAATTCTTCTAGCCCACTTTCTCCTGATTCTCTCAAATCTGCCAGTACACATTTTCCTTTACCTTCATCCTTGTCCCTCCCTTCCTTCCTTTACCTCCTATCTAATCCCTCCATTCAGTGAGATTCTTTTCAGACTCTGCAATTACACAGGCTCCATTGCACCCCATCCTTGCCAGATTCTACATATGTTAACTTATATGAGTTATTCAACATCTATGGGCTTTGAGCTTTCTCATCATTACCATGTTATTGTAAAGATTAGTATAATAATGTATATGAAAAAGTGTGTCAGGAAGTATTCACTATACATTAGCTTTTACCTCATTTAGATCCACATATGTTTCCTGATTTTTTCCACCTCTTTTCTTTACCTCTTTAGTCTCTGATCACATTGCTCAACATGATTTGTTAAAATTTTATTTAATATGTGAAAGTTAGTTAACAACATCTTCACACACCAGTGCAAATGCCATAGAAGCTGTAATCATTCAGAGTTACTCCAAGACTCCATCAACTGGTTGCCCAACTTTTGTATCCTACCCCTTCTCAGAGAGATAAAACATTCCACACTCTGAGTACTCCCATAAGGTATTGTATAACTCAAAACAACTACAAGATACGTATATTGTATATACCTACTGTATATATTGTATATCTCAAAACAACTACAAGATAGGTATACTGTATATCTCAAAACAACTACAAGGTAGGATTTGGAATGGTCTCACCACAGAGAAACAATATGCTTTTGAGGTGATAGTTATACTGATTACCCTGATTTGATCATTATACAATGCATAAATATATGGAGACATCACATTGTACCCCATAAATATGTACAATTATTATGTATCAATTAAAAAGTAAATGAAAAATGTTAGATCCTCAGAACTTGAATTTCTACTCTTTTCTGTTCCTTGCCTCTTTTTCGAATGGCCTACCACCATGCCAATTTAAACTTATATACTTAACAAGCCACTGTAGATAAATTGGACAATATACAGTATTTTATTACACTTACTGTGAATAAAGTTAGCACTTAAAGATCTATGCCTTCTCCCTCAAGGAACACTCACTCAGGGATTTCACAACAAACCCTCAAATGATAATTTCCAAATGTGCAGCTCCACCCTGATTTCTGTCTCAGCATTCACTCTCTTAATTCTCAATACCTTCTGAAAGCTTCTATCAATATGTACAGAATCATCTCAAATTTATTACAAGTCCTTTGTAGCTCATCTGCAAAAAGTATTTTACTCTAAATAATTTCCAATGACCCTGCCAACCTGCCAATCTATGACTTTTTGTATTACTCTAAGACAATCTGTATCACTCTCGCAACTCCCTCTCTACTGTAATATCCCAATATTTGTCAACTGTTCATTCATTTCATATTTTTTGAGAAAATTATGCTTATAAAGTTATAATTGTTTTTGATTCACTATTACCTAATTAGGCACTGAACTCATCTTCCAAGTCAAGTTGAATATTGTGTCATATTTCTTTACAATCTTTTCCTCCCACCACTCTAATGAGAATCAGAACAATCATTATAATTAGTGTGTCCTTTCCTTCTCTCTGTAATCCAACAGACACACAACTACCAACTCAATATTCTGAAAACATTGTGTTCATATTTCACTCTCCTGCTCAATAATCACTGGAGGTAAATGGAACTCCAATGTCCACAGAAGAACACTGAGGCTCTAGAGCCCAGCACTCACATCCCTTCATAATAACACTTTTCCTTTTCAATCTTCTTACCTGCTTCTTCTCAACATAATTTTTCCTACCCAATCAATACACAAAGTCAAAATTTTGATTGCATTTAATTACGATTTGTTCATCACATCACAAATGTACATGCCACTGTGTGGAATGCCCCACTATCTTCTTTTACCTATTTCTTTCTTTTTGTTCATGATACTATTCAACTTCCTCCTAATCCCAGCAAGTCTTCCACGACTCTCCCATTCACAGAGATTTATTTTGACCTGTAACACCTATAACACTTCCTATGAACCTACCACTTAATCATATATAGTTTTACCCAGTATGTAACATATTAATGTGTATGGTATATGGAGCATTAATGGTGTATGTAAGGGATCCTGAATGGTACTACAGGTTTATTAATACAACACTTTAATTAAAATGTTCCCAGTTATAAATACAGCATAGCAGGCACTCGATTACATAATAGGGACACAATGGAAAACAAGGTAGACGCTGTAGCTGCCTCATGAAAAGTGTAACCTAATAGAGGCTCATGCAGGGAAGCAATAAAGAAGTATGATGAATGGTATGAAGACGGTAGTACAAGGTGTCATAGAGCACAAAGAAGGGACACCAAATATGGTCTGCAGGTGGGAGAGGCACATGAGCACATAGGAAAATATTCTTGGTTAAAGTTATATCTAGGCCAGGCGCGGTGGCTCACGCCTGTAATCCCAGGACTTTGGGAGGCCGAGGCAGGCGGATCATGAGGTCAGGAGTTGGAGACCAGCCTGGCCAACATAGTGAAACCCCATCTCTACTAAAAATACAAAAATTAGCCAGGCATGGTGGCACGTGCCTGTATTCCCAGCCACTCGGAAGGCTGAGGTGGAAGAATCCTTTGAACCCAGGAGGAGGAGGTTGCAGGTTGCAGTGAGTAGACCACGCCACTGCACTCCAGCTTGGGTGACAGAGTGAGACTCCATTTCAAAAAAAAAAAAAAAATTATAACCTAATTTAAGACCTAAATAATAAATAGTATTTTGGTAGGTAAATAGGGGAGGAGACTACGAATATGAGGTAGTGAAAATCTTAGAAGAAGAAGAAACAGCATACACAAAATCCTAGTAATAAAAACATATTGCACCTTCAAAGAACTAAAAGAAATTGAAGATGGCTAGAATTGGGGAAAGCAGGAGATTTTATCTCAGTTTTAACTGGGTCCAGAATCCTATAAGGCCTTATAGTTCATAGTAAAGATTTAGAAAGTTGGCCTGACAATGAATGCTTTTAAGCATAACAATAATTTCATAAAATTCTTAACATGTAGTAATCCAGGAAGAACATAATGGTTGCTTGAATTAGGACTCTTGTAGTTAGGGTGGACAAAAGTAGATGGATAAAGAAAATACAGAAGAGGCAAAATTAACAGGCTTTCTTTGGTGGTAGACTAAACTCCTAAGGGTAGAAACTGTACTTATGCATCTCTGTATCCCACACAGTGCCTGCCATGGTATTTTAGTGCAGAAGGGACCCTATAAATATTTGTTGAATGAATAAATGAAGCCTCTAAAACTTCTCTCCCTAGAAGAAATATGAATTACATTCATGTTTCATTTATAAGGAATGTAATGAATGCTGAAAGCAGAGGCAAAACCTTTCAGCATCAGTCCTGTTGAAGGAGCTAGTAAGTAGGAATTTCAGAGTACTGCTGTGTGCAGCCCCAGGGGAGCATGGCTGGTTTAAGGCCAAGGATTCAGGATTGCCATCACAAAGATGGCTGTGGTATACCAGGCAATTGAGAAGGTGAAAGGGCAGCAGGAAATCTAATTCCAGAGTTTTGCAACAGAACACAGATTTTTTATTTTATTTTATTTTATTTTATTTTTTTGCAATAAGGCCAGCTTCTTAAATGCTACAATTACCCATATCAGAAGAGGGAGTATGTCACACATACTTTCACATGCTTCTGCAAAACAGTTGAGTTGAGTTTGGGATAAGGAAATGATATGGATAGCAAACTGAATGCCATATTCTGAAAGCATAATTCCATCCTGGCCACCTTGGCAAGTCATAGAGAAATAATTGGCTAAATATTTCTTTGTATTCTCTACCATCTTTCTTTCTTTCCCTCTATTCAACTTTATTCTTTCCCTGGTGCATCTCTCTCCTCTCTTATACTTTTCTTGTATCTCATTTTTCCTCAAGCTCTAGCTCTTCTTAGCTCCATCCCCTCCCTCACTCTTAGCTTAGTATCAGGGTTGAGGTCACAGAATGAGCCAAGGATTAATTTAAAACCTATTTAAATTGAGATGGGGGGAGATATAGCATATTTTCCCTCAGCTCAAACCTTCTACCAACAACTGCCACAACACACACACACACACACACACACACACACACACACACACAGTGCCAACAGTAATTGTTAGCTGACCACAGAATATTTATATCTGATGTCTCACCATTAATGTTCAATAATAGAGAAAATATTAAGAAAACGATAGTTCTTCTAGACACACCACCATGCAGCCATCAAAATGCTATTTGTTGAGGAATTTTAAAAGATGGGAAATTCTTTTGTTGTCATGTTAACATGGAAGAAAGTCAGAAATTATATTTCAATATAATTTCAAATAGGTAAAATATGCATTTGAATACTGGAAAGTCATACACAAATGTATTAGCAGTGATTAATTTTGTACAATGCTTTCATTTCCATTATTATACAGTTCTGTAGTTTAAATTTGCAATGAACATAGGTTCATTCCATTTGGGGGGAAATATCTCAAAAGAAAGGTGCAAACAAGACACCATGTGGTGTATATGTGTGGTAGGAGAAGTATTGTAAATGAATTCATTAAACTTTATAATAAGACGTAGCTCTGAGTATAAGATTTTTAGGTTCTGGGTGGAACATACAATAAGAGTTAAATGACCCTGGTGATGACTTACGTCAAAATAAATGTTTTAAGCACAGAATATCTAAGTCTAAGAATCATAAATGAGGCCACATGCTCATGCTTAGAAGATTCTCCAGCCATCTTGTGAATCTAGTCAATCCTATAATCCAAGTGTTAAGAGTGATGTTCTCTACTCAAATTTTTACTTCCTAATACTTTACTGGAAGCTATCCTACCTAATAAGGAAACTTGGTGTCAGCTTATTTATGTATTTGTTAATCTGTTTATCTATTTATTTGTTAAGCTATATCTTGGGGGTAGATACACCAGTATCTTTTGCACTGTCTCACATGAATTATTTTCAGTTTTCAAATGAAAAGTACTATATAAGCCCTTTTGCAATTCTCACTCTGGTCCTTTTGTGTGGAATATTCTATTTCACAGTTTGTCAACATGGTAACCTCCTGCACATCTTTTAAAATAGTTTGAGTATACTTCTCTAATAAAGCTTTCCATAATTCCTCTTACATCCTAATGGGTAGAAAGACTATCACAATCTTCTGTGATTCCATTATAGCCAACACATGTTCCCATCATAGCACCTATAATTTATCGGCTTTTTTCATTGTTAGAATACTTGTATGTATGCATTTATTTTTATTGTGGTTAAAAACCTCTCAAATGCAATCTACTCTCTTAACAAAATATTAAGGGTATAATACAGCATTATTAACTATAGACACAATATTTTAGAGAAGATATCTAGGACTTAATCATCTGACATAAATGAAACTGTATACCTAATGAACAGCGATTCTCCCATTTTCCCCTCCCCCATGGCCCACAGAAATCACAATTTTTAATGACCAATATGTCTTTAGGTCTCATTTCAAACTTGCTTAAGAAGGCAATGGAATGTGGTTTTTGACAATATGTGATTTGGAATTAGATATACTTGAATTCAAGTCTTGCTTTGCTAATTACTAAGTATAAAATTTGTGGCAAATCAATATCAATAAACTAAATACAATTTGAATAATAATTTTATTGTTAGCATGATAAGCCATTGGGTCTGTCACAATTTGAACAATAATTTTATTATTAGCATTATAAGGCTGTTGGGAAGACCAGAAAACATTTATTCTGGTTTTGATTATCTGGGCACCTACAGTGGACTCTTGCTAAGATATTGTCAATGGTCAAGAACAGTGAATAGCTCATAATAAATGCTTTCATGTTAATTCTTATTGATGGTAGAGAATAAAGTTATTCTTTAACTGCTCTCAGTTCCTCAGGATGCCACATAGTGAAGAAATAGACAAAAACTAAAACTGTTCCATCCTTTCCCACTCTGTTTGAAAACACAAACAGGGCCATAACAGTAGTCATTACCTCTTCAGTATGTACAAAATTGATATGTTATTGTCTCAGCATAGGTACTGTTCTATGCTTCATCGGAACTCATCTGCCTCAGTGGAAAAATACATATGGTAGATGTTGTGAAAGTATTGCTTCCATCTTCATGGGATTCTTACCTGACTTAATAATTGTAACATGAGGAAAATTTCTGCCTAAAATTTATAAGAGGTAAATGGTTCTCCACAATTGTGTCCTCTTCAGAACCCAGATTCTTCCAAATCATGCTAATAGTATCACTAACTCTAACACATCAGTGTTCAACCCTTTCCAAGAGGGTTAGGCCCTTTCAGAGAAGAGAGGGGGCAACATTTTCATGAAAAGAAATGCTTCTGGAAATGAAATTTGAGGTACATTGATACTTACATAGTAATTAATTAGGAATATAATAGCTTTCCTGTTATCTTTCAAATCATATCATATAGGTTATCACCTTTTTCCCTTATCTGAGAGGCTGACTTAGATCATCTCAGCTATCACATAGAAAGGAAACACAGGATCATCATCAATGAAGTCCTGGAAAATCTACCAGCACAGAAGTGATTCCTACCACAACACAGCTCCAACACAGCTATTCTTTGTGTCTGTCCAGATGAGCTGTCCAGATGAGCTGCACAAACACAGAGAATAGATGGCAGCCTTGGGACAGGCTGACTGTAGACTGGGTCAGAGAAAGAAAACAGTGTGGCTCCATATTAAAACACAACTTCAATAGCATCCCCTCTACACAAAATGTTGGGAAGCTATAGCAGCAACGTACAGGATGTTGGTTTAAATCAACCTCAGAGAGAATGTTATCTATTTCTTTAAATATAGCCTGTAATACAAGCAAAGAGGTCAAACAGTAACAAATGAAAAGTGTCCAGATAGGAGTTACCATCCTAGAGCAAAGAGTAGTCTAGCAGCCTACCCACGTATCATATACAATCATGTGCCACACAACGACTTTTCCATCAACAATGAATCACATATACCATGGTGGTGCCATAAAATTATAATGGAGCTGGAAAATTCCTATTGACTGCTGACATCATTGCCATCCTAACACTATATTGCAATGCATTATTCATGTGTTTGTGGTGATGCAGGTGTAAGCAAACCCACTGTACTCCAGTCATACGAAACTATAGCACACACAATTATGTACAATACATAATACTTGATAATGATAACAACTATGTTACTGGTTTATATATTTACCAGAACATATTTTTATCATTATTTTAGAGTGTTCTCCTTCTACCTATTTTTTTAGCTTAACTGCAAAACAGCCTCAGGCAGGTCCTTCAGGAGGTATTCCAGAAGAAGGCATTGTTATCATAGGAAAGGACAGCTTCATGCATGTTATTGCCCCTGAAGACTTTCCAGTGGGACAAGATGTGGAGATGGAAGACAGTTATATGGATGATCCTGACCCTGTGTAGGTCTAGGCTAACGTATATGTTTTTGTCTTGTTTACAAAAACATTTATAAAGTTAAAAAAAATAAAAAATAAAAAATGGAAAAATGCTTACAGAATGATATAAAGAAAGCAAATATATTTGCACAGCTGTATAATGTTTGTGCTTTAAGCCAAGTGTTATTACACAAGACAATTTTTTAAAAAATTTAAAAATTTATAAAGTAAAAAAGGTTATAGGAAGCTAAGGTTAATTTCTTATTGAAGAAAGAAAAAATTTTAAATAAATTTAGTGTAGTGTCTATAAAGTTTATGGTAGTATGCAGTAATGTCTTTAACATTCACTCGCCATTCACCCACTGACTCACCCAGAATAACTTCCAGCCCTGCAAGCTCCTTTCATGGTAAGTGCCCTATATAGGTGCTTCATTTTTTATCTTTTATAGTATGTTTTCACTGTGCCTTTTCTATATTTAGATATATTTAGGCACAGAAATTCTTGCCACATCATTGTGTTACAATTGCCTGGAGTATTCAGTACAACAACAGGTTTTCCAGGTTTTTAGCCTAGGAGCAATAAGCTATACCATACAGCCTAGGTGTGTAGGCTAGGCTGTATTGTATAGATTATTGCTACTAGGCTAAAATCTAGGTTATATCATCTAGGTTTGTGTACATATACTTTATGTATCATGTTGGCACAATGATGAAATCACCTAACAGTGCATTTCTCAGAATGTGTCTTCATTGTTAAGTGACATATGAATATAATAACAAAGAAACAAGTCCATATTCCTGGGTTCATATGTTATACATACTAAGAAACACACATGCACACAGTTAACTGGCACATTTTATATATATATAAAGGGTCGAAGAATAAACTTGATATTTCTTTTTCTCCCTCTTAGGTGCCAATGCATTTACAACCATGATTATTTAAAATAGAGTTCATATTTTTCTCGCAGTTCGTGGTATTTTTAATGGTTTTAAACATCTCCTTTTTGCATTTAATATTGTGTACTATCCCAAGCAGCATCAGCGAACCTGCTCAAAGACACCCCAGTGGCATATCTTGAGTAGCCTGGGGATGAGCAAATGTGAAGGATGAGTAAGTATATCTTTTAGTACCTGCTGTCTAGCAAAATGTCATGCCACTCAGTACAGACAGATCTGAAGAATAAAGTTGTCCTTAGTTAAGAATCTACAAACTGATCTGTGGAGTTTTAATAGGCCAACAAGTCCTGGCCTCACACACCTCCCCTCGAAAACCTTATGTTCAAATGTAGTTTTAAAATTAGTTTTCTCCTTAATGATGAAATTGAATTAGATTCACCAAGCACACCTATACATGGCATATGTCAACAGTTTTCAAAATCCCACATTTTCCTTGGGAAGGAAAGGAGAGTAAAAACTAAAAGTTTTAGGCTTTCTAGTTAATTATCTTCATGTTAATATCATTGGGAAATAAAGGTGGGAAAAGGTAGAAAACAGTACAAAAATGAGAATCAGTTTTAAAAAGACAGTACAATCTTATAGTTCTACTCATGCACACTGTGATACTTAATGGGACATTATAACAAGTTCTCCCAAAGTCAGATGAGAGCAAACACTACAGCTTCTCACTTACAGCATAAGGTGATGACATTAGTGGTAAGAGGGTGGTAGTAAGAAGGCCTGAAGGCAAGAGCAGATCAGCTGTTGGAGGATGGAGAGACACGAGTAGAGTAATTGCTTGTTGACTAATTGAAGTGCCTCTTCACCATTTTATCATTCATGAGAACAAATGTCAAAAAGTATTGATGACTACTTGAAGGATGATACAAAAGAGATCACTTAATAGTGAGGAAATATAAAGATAAATAAGTTGCAAAAGAAACGGGATAGGTAGAATTAAGCAACAATTCATGGAAGCTGCTTGACAGTGTATACGATTTGGATACTCAGCCTTGAATGAGCTTCTGGGCAGGTCTGACCATTACCCTGGCTTCCTTTGATGTAGCCATGATAAAATATCATAGAAATGCAAAGTTAGCACCAATACAACATTCTAGGCAAGCTTGTATGGTTGGCACAACAAGAAAAATAAGAAAATCTGATTATCACCAAAATATTACCAAGTTCATTCTTTCATTCAAAAATATTATCTAAGTACCCACTATGCACCAGTTAGTGAACGACACAAACAAGCCTCTGCCTCTTGAAATATATCCTGTTCAGAAAGACAAATAATGCACATAATATATCAGGAGGTGATTACTGCAAAGAAGAAAAACAAAGCAGGATAAAGAAATAAAGTGTGAGAAGATGCTATGCTAGATAGGATGGCCAGAAGATTTCTTTGAGAAGGTCACTTTTGAACAGAACTGAATAGGGAGAATAATGAACCAGATCCAGTTGCCTAGAGGGAGAGCCATCCAGGGAGAGGAAGAGCAAGGGCAAGCGATGTGATGCAGCTATACACTTGGCATATTCCAAAAACATCAAGGAGGCTGTGTGAGAGAAAGAGAAGTGGGAGGAAGTTAATTCAGAGAGGCAGCCAGGGCAAGATTATGCAGGTTCTTCTTGACCATATCTAGGATATTTGATTTTATTCTAGATCTTATGGGAAGCAAGAAGAGGGTCAAAAATGGTGCTAGGATCTTACTAACATGGTGGTGATTAATGTGGTCTCACAATTAATTAGAATAATTCCATAAAGTTTTTATCAATAAAGTATCAAGTTTATATAATACATATTAAGATCTACTAAATATATTAAATAATATATCATAGATTATAATATATTATTTAATATAATATATATTATTATATATTATATATTATTTATATATTTATATATTATATAATATTATAATATATAATATATATTATTTAATATAATATATATTAAATATATTATAGATTATAATATATTATATATAACATATATAATATATATTATAATCTATAATATATTATTTAATATATTATATATAATATATATTATAATATATAATATAGATTATAATATATTATTTAATTATATTAATTAAATAATATATTAAAGAGGGCTAGTAACAACCTATGGGGCATTGGTAATAACTGGCATTTATGACGGCTGAAGTATAGATTCTTACTGTATTTTATTAGAGAGAAGGAGATTCATTTAGTAGGAATTTATATGGATGGTGAGAAAACCACCAGAAAAGGATGATGCTGTAGTGACATCAGGCAGAGTCTGCATTGTGTTTGTAGTTTAAGAAGCACGCACAAGAATCTGAAAAGATTAACAATGAAGGTGCCCTCTAAATGTTAAACTATTAAATAAGCAGAGATCAAGCCATATTGCCATTAAGAGGCAGCATGGCTCTGGACCATAACAAGCTTTCCTGTGATAACTAATATGATTAAAGAAAGAAAATAACAATCTGAAGCACAGATTGGTCAGCCATAGTACTATAGAAATAGGAAAGCACAGAGGTCTATTCTGCTCCTGTCCAAGGAAGGGACATCTCGGCATTGTTGGGCTGCTCAGAATGTCTGTTCTTTCTGGCAGGTAGATGGAGATGGATGCATGCTGCCATTAGCACCTGATGAGACTAAGCATTTGAAACAAGCATCCTGCTCACCAAGCAACCTTCTGTTAATGTGACTCCCTGCATAGCTTTTGTGCAGGGCAGGAATTCACTGGCCAGACTGATGCAAATGTCTGGTCCAGTTAACAGTAATATTTTTCATTGTAAATTACTACAGTGGCTTTCTAATTTATATGCCTCAGTCTTTTGTGAGTTGCTACAAGTCATCCCCCCTAAATAATCAGCTCTGTGCATTAACCAGACCAAGCACTGGGACCTGCAATGCTGAGGTCTGGACTCCAGCTGTGATGAATTCACCCTGGAAATGCTGCCCTGCAAGGTCTCTTGGCAGCTGGCCTTCTCCTGGGACACACTGACCTTGCAGTACCTTACATTTGAAATGTCGACATGTGCCTTCCAACACTGGGTCTCCTGGGAACAGTCACTGCCGGGGCATATGTGCAGGGAGTTATAAGATGTGATTAATTGAATATTGAAGAAATGTCTCCACTGGTAGGAAAATAATTTTAATTATGTATACTATGTATGTACTCTTTAAATATAACAATAGCCAATATTTGTAATTTATTAAGCACTTTCTAAGCCCCATTCTAAAAGTTTTAAATATTACTTGATTTAAGTACTATTATTATTCCTATTCTCATTTTAGAGACTGGAAAAACAGAAGTTGAGAAAGGTTATGTCATTAACCAGGGTTTCATCATTACTATATGATGGAACTGTGATTTGAACTCAGACCTATTATCCCCAGAGTTAAGAGAATAGACTCTGGAGCAAGACTTGCTCTGGCTGGAAACCCACCTCCATCACTTATTAGATTATTGATCTTGGATAAAACATAGAACTCCTTTGAATCCGTTTTGTCACTAAGTGCATAACAACATAGAATTGCAATGAAGTGCAAACAAAACTACGAAAATGAAGTACTTAGTAATATAAAGTGCTTAATACTGCATATTATACATAGTAAGAGCCAAAGAAAGGTTATCTGTTAATGTAATAGTTAAAATATGTAATATATGAGAGTCTATATCACATAACCAGATCAATGCTCAGGTATACCTTCTCATGAGTATCCTCACTCCCTCCTTATACCTTTAATATTCAGTGATATCACTTGATTTACTTATATAAGCCTCATTCCAAAAATTTGTGTCAGGTTTCAAAAATATATACAAATATGTAAAAGAAGTAGATCAAATATGGCAAAAAAAATAGTTGGAAAAGAAAACAAATGGCAGTATGCAATATATTTCTATACATTTGAAGTGGGCAGCACATTTGGCTTTGAATTCCCCAGAAGCCCAGGTAAATGGGACGATGTGGTTAATGTTAAGTTTCACATTGGCCATAGGACTAAAACAAACCTCTATTCCACAGTTCTGTAGACTGAGAACCTGACCCACATGGGCCCTCCTAAAGGCGTATTGTGTGATGCAGCAGCAGCATCAACAAGGCTTGCAATAATGAACCTCAATATTTTGAAAATAGCAATACTGCATTTCAAGAATTTGAAATGTCAGCATATATGTGAGTGTTTCTGATTGGCTTGAAACTGGACTGCCTGACCATTTTATATCTTCACCCACAGACTGCTAGTGCTTTCCATTTACCCCAAGCTTATTGTATTGTTCTGTCTTTGTAGAGACCTTCTGCAAAATGCCAGGCTATAGTTTCCCTCTTATCTGCATTAATTCAAAATACTCTGTGTTTTTTTTCCATTTCATTTTGGGTTATATTTTCCAATTCTTTGGCCGTGTAGAGAAGAGGTCAAAGTCATTCATCTGGAACTGGAAAAAAAAATTCGCAGAACAGTGAGTTTACTATTCCAAATGGTTAATGGCTAGGAGAAAGTGAGTGCCTCTGGAACTTGAAAACCTGGCTTCAGACAATACATCAAAAGCAACTTAAGTTAGTACCAAGGCACCTTGGGCTTTCATACCTGACCGGCAAAAAAAAGAAAAAAGAAAAGGAATAGCAAAGAAGAATAGAAAGTGGCATCCTCCCTAACGGAGCTATAAAAATGATGGGAGTACAATCTCAATTGTGCTTACAGTCTGCTTACATATGCTGTCCAAGCACACCCCCACATCAGCATCCAGGCTGCACCTTACTTGACTGTCGCTTCTCAAGTACTTGACTTTTTATTTCTTCTCCTTTATTTATCTCATCTCTTTTTCAGCTTGGTACCAGGTCCAATGGCTTCAAAGTTTACATATACACTCTCACTTGCTTTTAAAAACACTCATCTTAATCTCCACCTTATTTTTTTTTCTTTTCACACTGCAAAATTGTGTGCCTGTTCATAGCCCTGGAGGGACTGGAAGGCCAGGACCAGACTCTCATGGAAAGGTCATTTTTTGTTGTTTTTTGTTTTGTTGTTATTGTTTTGCACAGTCTCAAGTGGAAAGTCCCATGGTTCTACTCATAGAGGGAGGCTGTCTTTTTCCATGACATTTCCAGATTTACCTTCAATAAAATAACTAAAACCCTGACTTGGGCATTTGAGAATAGCACATTGTCTGATTTTGATTGCAAATCATATATTCTGCTCAGCGCTCAGCACTCAGCACGTGGTTGATAATCCTTGAGTTGTGCTTTCTCTTTCTGTCACAGAATAGCTAACTGAACTACAGCTTGCTTTGCCTTCCTACTGCTCTCTTTCTCTGTCCTCTTCCCCTTCCTCATAGCACTAAATTCTTTTTTTTTTTTTTTTTTTTTTTTTTGAGACGGAGTCTCGCTCTGTCGCCCAGGCTGGAGTGCAGTGTCGCGATCTCGGCTCACTGCAAGCTCTGCCTCCCGGGTACACGCCATTCTCCTGCCTCAGCCTCCAGATTAGCTGGGACTACAGGCGCCCACCACCACGCCCGGCTAATTTTTTTGTATTTTTTCGTAGAGACGGGGTTTCACCATGTTAGCCAGGTTGGTCTCTATCTCCTGACCTCGTGATCCGCCCGCCTCGGCCTTCCAAAGTGCTGGAATTACAGGCGTGAGCCACCGCGCCCGGCCTGGCACTATATTCTTTGGGGAATTCTTACCAGCTGAGTTGTGGCATTCACTTTGCATGACATGTATAGGGATCGGAGAAAAAAAATTAACTGTCCACTAATTGAATGCACCACTCCTTGCTCCTGGAAGCAAGTAGGGGAGAGTCACCACCATTAATGATTACAGGTGATTATCTCATCTCCTTTAGAAGCTTATTAGCCCCTATAAAGTTCTTTCTACTCCCAAGGTGTCACTTCACACCCAACGGGAAATAGGTACTGAAGTGTCTTGGCCAAAGTCTTCTCTCAAGATCTCAGTGATTCTATTTTTAGGCTACCAGTGAGCCTGGTCCAAGAATAGCAATATTTAGGTTGATATTTTTCCTTTGACAGATGAACTTATATTCCTTAGTGACTGGAGAAGAATGGGGTTGTATAATTTCCCTAGCGCTCCTGTAGAACAAAGTAAATATTCTATACCTTGTCTCCCTAATGGTAAAACTGCAGAGAATGAAGGTGAAATGGCTTGATCAGGGTCATAGAAGTGTGTCAAAAGTTTACATGAAGACCAACAAAACAAAACAAACAGCCAAAAACCAGTCAGAAGCCCAGTCAGGCACTGGATCCAATCACTGGCAACATTATCTCAGATGCAGTGTCCTCTATCAAAGCCATGGTGAGGAACGCGTGTCTGAGATAGAGTTGGAACCCTGGTAGACATGAAGTCCTGGCATTATGAACTCAGGCTCTCAGCGCCTCCATCTGCCTGTGATTTAATGTGGACGACAGTATCTCTCCACTGACAGGAACAGCATTTCTTGTCGTTTTGTGTACTGAGCTATTTCTGCCATGACATATATCAACAGGATCGGGATCTTGAGGATTTACTGGGAGTGTTAATAATTGCATGTGAGTAAGGTCTCAGCACTTCATCTGCAGCCGGGGATGGGGGTGGGGAGCTGCTAAGCAGAGCCAATGTATATTCTCTTTTGGACAGGGAGCTCATATTTAACACACAGCTTTGTCTTCCCTGACTGCCCTGTGAAAAAATATGTTTTTAGTAAATAAATATTTAACGGATTTCCTAGTGTCTCTTTTTTGTATTAGTTTGGTTGGATTTAAAACCCAGTATTGTGAAAGTAAAGTGTAAGACAGAATTCTTTTGTAAAAATAACAATGATCATTTTTAAGCGTTATTTTTTTTGTCTGTTTATGTGAGTTTTGTCTTACATTCACGTCCCAGTTTTGTTTTTGATGTATAGATACCCATATTTTCTGGTTTTAAAACAAGTTTAAACGTGTATATTTGAAGAGAGAGAAAACGTACTGATATTGTCTGCTGATATTAGGAAACCTAATATCACCTGAATTCTATTTCCATTTAGTATTTTCATCTTTTGTTTCCCTGACTCCTTCCTCAAAGCTAGTTTTCCAAACTGTTAAGAAAACATAGCAAAATTGGATTTGCTCCATCTTATCCAAAGTGAAATTGACTACAACTAAATCTATTATATATCAATTAAATATAAGTTGAGAACATCTATCCACTTGGTCCCCAAACCATTGAATATATCAAATGTAAATGCCTCTGGGTTTTGTTATAAGCATTTGCAGAAGCTAGAAACCAGCTGTGGTTAAAATTCACAACCTGTAGATACTCTTTACATCAGATATTGCAATTGCCTGGAGATATTATTTTTATGGGCATTCATTTATTTCCAATCTCCATAACATTCTGAGAAACTTTTATAAGAAAGGCAAAATGCAAAAATGAAATACATAGTGCCAGGTTATAGTCTGATATGTATAAATAGATCTCCATCAGTGACATTTATTTTCTGCCCCTTAATGTTTATAAATGGTAATATGTTCTTTGTGCTCTGAATTTTTTGGTATGTATAATGACATTAGTCTTGCAACACAGGTATTTTTCTACTTCTCAGTATATTCTATTTGTTTATATGATCTCTTATTAATTAGGTACAGCTAAGAAAAGTGAGCCTATAACAAACATTACTAAGCTGTGTTTTGTTGTGGTTGAGAAAGAAATGAGATGAATAAAAGGGAGAATATGAATTGAAGATAAGAAAAATATGAATATGCCTGCATTTAAAAGCCAGGTGGCCTCACGTTAGTACAGGCCTGGAAGAAACAACTGGAATCTACACATTTCCTTTCACAGATGAGGAGACTGAGGCTTGGAGGGGCTTGTCTATTTTCTCAGAGAGGGCATATCTGGACCCAGAACCAACAGACCAGTGTCATTTCATGTTTCTGACCCTCAGCTCCTGGACCAGAAGGCAGCTACTTTTTTAACAGAAGATTTTTTTAGTCCTGGCTTTGCCACTCTGTTTTGCATTTAAAATCTAAGTTCATCTCCTAATTTCTCCTCTTTTCACCCCTACAGGACACCTATAAGATCTCCAGGACTCGGTCAGCATTTTTCTTTTACATTTTCCCCCTTGTATTTTCCTGCTTAACCACCTGAGGACATACACATACAGCAAATAAGATGGGCATTGGGTGTCCAGAGAACACAGATAACTTATGCCTAACACAGTATATGATCAAATAAGTCTTGAATTATGCATAAATGTACAAATTAATCAATTCAAGGTAACATGAGATCTAAAAATGTATTACAACAAGAGAAAAGGGATAACAAGCCATTCTTTATATCTTCTCCAAACACAGTCATACTTAGATAAACCTAACAAATAATTCAGATGCTTTTGCTACACTAATTAGAAACACTATTAGAGACTCAAAAGATAAAATTCTGTCCATACCTGACCAAACTCCCCTTGTCCAACACATTTGCCTTGTATTCCAAGCACAACACATAAGTATAAAATGGAGTAAATGTATATAGACCATTAGAAAGCAGTTTGAAACTGACCACATAGAGATCACAAAGCCATCATCTGGTAGTGTTGGAATTCCTGGGTGTCTATGATGAATGCATTTGCAAATGTTGCTGTGAAGTAATTTCCTTCCATTTCTAGAGTACCCCAGATAAATTAGATTTCCCTCTAATCACATCTGCTGCCTGCGTATAAGAAAAGATGGTTTTCTCATACACAAATGATATGTACTTAGAGGGTAGAGGACAAAGAAATTTAGTGGAAAGTTACCACATATAATTATAACGGAGCAGCATGGTACCAAAGAAAAAGTCACAGGATGCTTTTTAGGAAGAGACTATACAAAATGCCATATGAATACGGCTGTGAGGTACTGCATATTACAGGGTATGTGCAATTCACTGTGAGAGGTAAACAAGACCTTAACTGTGTCTTACACATACAGGGCACCCTGTTGAGGACTGGCTAACTGATGTCAAGTACTTTCAGTAAACAAATCAGATGTATGATGCTATTCATCTAATATATCCACATTAAAATCAGAAAGGAAATAAATTATTGTGATACTAGAAGAAAATTTAAGCTGAAATGTTATCAATAAAGTGGCCATATGTACCTCTAGCCTATGTCAGAATCATAGGTTATTCTGACAATTTTAAATAATATCTAGTTATAAAGAGTTTGGAATTCAAAAAAGAGATAGTAAATAAATACAGCGGGCTACCACGTAGTCAAAGTTTCCTTACTGGTGACCTGGTTGTTGCAGATGCTATTGATAAACTACTGACATTCATTTGGGACATGCCATTTCAGAAATTGCTGGCCATGCCCAACTGCAAGCTCCTGTGATTCTCCACCTGAGGGTTTTCTTTTCTTTTGGCCTTCATGTAGCATGTTAAAAGTGCGGAGCAGTAAATGCCCTAGGGAATAGCTCCCATCCAATGACAGACAGAAGTTGGAGACAAAGGCCCTGCTCCCTCACTTCCTCACTTTTAGGTAGGAAGATTCTGACACTGGTTTTCTTACAGAGTTCCAGCAATTTCCATTGGGTCTAAGCATTAGTGGTACACAACACACCCTTTATAGGTTTCCCTGTATGCCTGCTCATACGTCTTCACTCCATTGCTCATTTTTTTCTGAGATTATCTCCCAAATAAACTACCTGCAAATTGTTGTTGCAAGGGGGAACCCAACTTAACTCATGACCAGTTCAAAACTGGCATGAACAGAAAATTAAGGCATCAAAAAGTGGGGCAGGGCAAGGAACCATGTAGTAAAGCCCATGCATTTTACTTAAAATAAGAATCCTAAGAAGGGGTGGGAACATTGGGAAAAGAGGCAGAGAAACCACCAAAACAAATGGAATAACTTATGAAGCATTTAGAGTAGGAACAATCAGGTTTTAGTAACCTGTAAGATATTATACATAATATAAGGCTTCGGTAACCTACATTATACATCTACTCTTCTATAAATGTTCACAATACAAAATCTGAGTTAGTGTTGGTAGGTCCAAACATAATACTTACTACCTGTAACTATGCAAGAAACGCCACATTACATAAGCTACCGTTAGTGAATATAAATCTTTGAATGGATCAGTGTGAACATCTTTAAACGGTCAGCATTATGTTAATATACACAGGTAATTGCACAGTTACTAAATGGCCACCTGGAAACACATTCAAATAATGTAAGACCTGAAATTATTTGTACAGTATCTCAGAGTACAATTCTTACTTATACTGATGGTCTAGGTCATTGATCATTAAACACTGAATAGCAATTATTGTACTCTAAGAATGCAGGGGGTGCACTGTATAGTTCCTAAAATTGACATTAAAATTGTTATAATGAATAGTTCTCATTTACAAATTAAACTTCAATTTGCTGGAAAACATATTAATGTAGGATATACACCTTTCCCATAACTAGAGATAAAGTAGATGACACAGGACAGGTCTGGTATTACTTAACTGAGTTAGTATGTTCTGTAAGTATAACTTGGGTCAACACTGTACCTACAGAGACATCACTGAAGTGGGAAAGTTGAAGCACAGAGGAAGTAACTGAGAGTTAAGCAGAATATTCAGCTAATATTTGAATCAAATATATATTGAGCTGATGTTTCATGGTTTTCTCAAAATTCATATCCCAGACATTTTAGCATAAATACATGCTTGTATCTTTTGCTTTATGTATGGGCTAAGCTATTCTTACATGCTAGTAAGATAAACTTAAGTAGTGAGAATTGATGAGTATCATGAAAGGATCCGGGCTATAAAAATATCTCCCCATTGATCAATAGTTGACACTTTGAATTCTGCCACTAGCAGCCTATATCTTTGGTTAAATTATTGTTGTGTTTCCTCTTATGAGATGAAAATATACCTCAGGGAACTATCACTTCGGGTCACTCACATCTTAATGTGCGTAAATAATACTGAAAGCTTTGTTAGAGAAATTAGGGTTACCACAAAGATAATACGGTGATGGAAATTTTTGTAAAATAACTTTTATGATGAGTTTCCTTTGGGAAAAAAAACAGTCTAAAATCATACTAGACTATATGATTCTGGCTAAAAATCAGAAGTATGGATGCAGGGGCATATTTTATTAAAAGAAAACACCAAAGATTCAATTAAGTATAGAGCCTGGAAAGAGTCTAACAAAGTGGTGTTTGCCCATTTATGTGAGCCAAAATACTATGAGCTCTTTCAGATATGTGTGTTTATCTTTATTTTGCCCAATTTCTGTGTCTTTGTCTAGCCTCCCATTCCCCAAACCTGTATTCTGCAAAGCATTCTACATAGATCTACTTCCAGCAGTTCCTCAGAGCATGTCCCACAATAGCTGACCTTATTCCTTCTGTGGCTATGACCTCTATGCACAGGAAAATCTCCAGTGCCGCTCTATATGACTGGCCTAGGCAGACAGATGGCCTGGAATACTACCAACAACCAGGCATAGGAAAAAACACCAAACAGGAAAACCAGCTTAGTAAGACAAAATCATTTTCTAGCAGTACTGAGATCAAGGTGAAAAGTAAATGTCAGGTATCCTTCCTTATCTTCATTTTTGCAATCTTAAGATACATGTCCTCATGCAATTTACATTTTCTGCAGATAGATTACTAAAATAAATCAACTCAATTCAAGTATTTTTGAAGTATCTTCTCTGTGCCAATCACTACATCAGGCAAAGAGAATAAAGCAATGAACAGGTTACAATCTCTGACTCTAAAATGTGGGGGATCCCTTCATGCAATATTGTAAAACCCAAGTGAGTGGCTGGTCCCCATGGCTGTAGGAGGTAGTGTTATCTGAGTAATGGCATTTCCTTTAGAGTTCCCACCATGGCTTTTTGATTACCATAGTAGTGATTGGACCTGCCAGTCAGTCAGAATGTTTTCTGACTTGTTTCTACAAACTCTGACCCGAAAGACGAACTCCTGCCAATAACTTACTAAGGAGGAAAAAATACAAGACCTGTCTGTGCTCCTTTTAATTAGCTCAGCAATCTGGCAACCAGAGACTCTGACGCAGAAAAGACAAAAAAAAGTCTTATTTAAAATACTGTGGGAGGCTAATGCTGAAACACTGACCAGTCCCCTGTTGAGACAGGGGAGGGGCCTGGAGTAAACTATAGCAAGAAGCAGCTCAGTGTATGGGTCCTATTTAAATTCCTGTGTGCATTTCCCGTCAACACGCACTAATTTGCATTGAGGCCAAAGACCCAAGAATGGGCAATCTGACAGCAGTCTGACCACCGTTGCATCTTCTGGTTATCTTGGCAGTTCTTTCTTCTTCAGGTGTGACAAACGACACTCCTGAGAGGCTTTGGCAGGCTTCCAGGTTGTGTTCTGTGCATTGTTGAAGGGAATGACAGAGATTCCAGTAACACACCATGAGAGCACACTTCTATAAAACTCTGATTTTTATCTGTAATTTTTATTAATCCCAAATTCTCTCATTTGTCAAAGAATGAATGAATTAGATATGGTAGACTGTTCCTCTATAGGTTCAAACTATTACTTCTTCTTTTGATCTACTTACCCATCACCAGCCTTAAGACTAAATAAAAGCCTTCTCTCAAGATTCAAACATAGAATGGGTGGGTGGCATCCACCTTTTTTTTTGCCCTCACACCCATAATTGAAAGACTCAGGAGGAAAAGGTGTGTGATTGATATCTTGTGCCAGGTGCAGTTCAGACTATACATAAATATAGGACAGATTTTACATCAAATAAAATATTTTAAGACAAAATACAGGAAGACAAAATACAAATATTTACAAAATTAGTGATGCAAGATTTCAATACCAAGTTAAAGAAAGCACTACACACACACACACATGCACACACACACACACACACACACTCACACAAATGGTGGAAACAGTGTGGTAGCTGTTCATGAGGACAGTGAAGTACGTTGAAGGGTTTATGGCACTGAGCTGGACTTACAGGAAGACAAAAGAATAGACTGAGCAATGAAGAGGGAAAGGGCATTTCAGGTGGTTTGAATATAGTGAATAAAATCCAGTCATTCACTGGAGGCCATTCACCAAATAAGCTGAGGACATTCACAAAATAAGCTGGGAATTTTAGATAGGTTTGTTTGCTGCTTTTAAAAGTAATTCTTAGAATCTCCTCACTCTTCCATAGAAATTACCGTCATTGCAGAGTCCTTTCCACCAGAGCTTTCAGGCAGAGCTGGCACCAACTCCTACCTCCCACACTGCCTCCTCCACATCAGACAGAATTACCTGCATGTTCCTGGGTGACACAAAGGAAGGATGAGATGTCACCCACGACAAGCTTAAGTGGACAGTTTTGGACATCAGTCGCTAATACTAATTTCAGTGCCCTATGATTTGATTGCTTGGATGATTAATGGGATTCTCATGACACTTTTGTAGCATGCCTCTTCGTTTTCTCTTTAACTTTAATAAAATGGGATTACCCATTCTTGTCATGCTGAGTCTGAAGAGGTAGTCAAGTAGACAAAAAGAAAAAAAAAACTGAGATGTATCTTGAGAAGGGGGAAAGCAGAATAGCCTAAATCAACTTTATATTTTTTTCAAGATATCAAAGTACAGGGGGCTCCTGTTGCTTTGTCTGATGAAGGCCCTTAATTTTCTGCCTGTATATAGTTACTGAATGCCACTGTGCATCAGCCTTCTTGTCTATGAAATGAAGCTAATAATACAGACGTAGTCCAGAGCAAAGCTGTAAGCATTAATTAATAAAACATGATTGTTAAGCCTACTGCAAACACGAAGCATAGCATGAAGCTACTTGGTTAGAAAGTAATAAAGTGGGGCCTCCGAAGCACTGGGCAGCTGTGCTGCGGGCTCAGAGTCCCACCCCTCCTCCCTTTGAGTATTCAGGTCAATGCAGCCTTCT
Organism: Homo sapiens; assembly: GCF_000001405.40. Classification (NCBI taxonomy): domain Eukaryota; kingdom Metazoa; phylum Chordata; class Mammalia; order Primates; family Hominidae; genus Homo; species Homo sapiens. The sequence continues at coordinate 117,922,295 of NC_000003.12, forward strand.
TTGTGCCATCAGCATTGAAATCCTTCCCAAATACCAGACCCAGGAGTGCTTCCCCTCAGAGGCTCAACATGTCACATGCTTCTCTATGCTTCTACCTGCACCTACTCTATCTCTGTATTTTGGCTCATCTCAGTTGCTAGCTTTTGATTTCATCTTCCTCACATTGGTATTTCTTTTTCCAATTATCTCAGCAGAGAAAATGTTCTTCCTACAGTAGAAAGAATTCCCCAATCACACTCCTCACCCAGTGAGTGACAGGCCTTGCTGATGCTTCTTTACCCCTCTCTCTCCTCCTCCTTCTCTCTCTCTCTCTCTCTCACACACACACACATACATTTGCACACAGTGAGATTACAATAATTTACTTGGTACTGTGAGAGAGGAGAAAATACCATTCCTAGCAAGTGAATTTTACAACAAATAACTATGAAATACTCACTAATTTGGCTCAATTCAAAAATTCAATTTAATGAAAACAAATATCTAGCATGTAAATTTTTTCCAAAAAGCACTGTGCTAGCCATTGTGCAGTGCAAGTCAACAAGCTTAGTCCCTTGCTCTCAAGGTTTAGAGAGATATGTACGTGAAATACCACAACATAAGCAGAGTCATGTGCTTTAAAAGAGCTATAAGCAAAAAGAAGAGATAGATTTCTGTTGGAAGAAAGGAAGGAAAGATAGATGGAAAGAAAAGACAGAAGGAAAAAAATCTTACATTTATAGCGGGACTGGTATATTCTTATTAGGATGTTAAATGCTTCCATATGAGTTATCTATTTTAATTTTACATTTTCTCTATAGTGTAGTATTATTTTTCCATTTATATAGATGTTAAAACTGAGACTCCAGAAAGTACATAACTTTACCAAATTGTTGATGTCAATGGGACAGCATGAGTTCATGAAGCCTCCAGGATGAGACAATTAAATTGAACTTTGAAATAAATATTACATATCTACTCTTCTATAAATGTTCACAATATAAAATCTGAGTTAGTGTTGGTAGTTCCAAACTTAAGACTTACTACCCAAAACTATGCCGGAAATGCCACATTATACAAACTACTGTAGTGAGTATAAATCTTTAAGTGTATTGGTGTGAATACCTTTAAATGGCCAGTATTATGTTAATCCATGAAGGTAGTTGCACAGTCACTAAATGGCCACCTGGAAACACATTCAAATAATAGTGTGACATGAAGCAGGGTCACTACTTTTCTAAGACATATCAGAAAAAGAAGTATAGTATAGCAGCAACCCATGGGCCAACAAGAAAAGCAAGCAGGAATGGCTCAATGAAAAACCTTGACCCATCACTGAAAACCATTGTTAACATCTAAGTGTCCTAGAACACAATTTTTAAAAGGATATGAAACTAGAATATATTACAGAAATCAGTATAAAATTGACAACTTAGAAGGTAAGATTCAATGTTAAGGACAATCTGTCTTAGCTAAGGCTTAAAGACAAGGTGAGAAATGTCTGCTTTTAAATATTGTTTAGTTGGCTTAATTTTCCATTAAATATCAAATAAGCAGCCTACTATCTATTTCTGAGCAGACAGGGTATCTGACATTCTTACCAGCTGTGATTTTCCCTATGGGTTTAATGGGTTTGTATAATATTTGTACAAAGTAATATTATCATTATCATAAATGTTTTCTAATTATTTCTTGGGATTAAAAAAAGCATCTTGTATTATTGATGGATTAAGTACAATATTTATGAAACAGTGATAGGATTAAAGAGAAATAAATATGTATATCTTTCTCATGTGTAAATAATAAATATTAATTCCCATCATCAATTTTGGGCAAAGTGGTTTAGGTATATAATATTTTTGTACATACTTATAACTTACTAAATACTTCAGTTATCTGTTGTGGGTTTAGGGGTATGAAAATAGTGTTTGTTTATCTGTAAACTGAAGTACTTGGTAAAGTCTTCAGGGACTGCAGGAAGGACAAAGATCTGAAAAATAGACCAAAGAAATAATTTAAAATGTGTTGGATTTTTAGAAAATATGCAAAATGTACACAATAAACTTTCAAAGGGAAGAAACATAAACTTGCATCAAAGCCAGAAATAAATTAAGCCCCATAAGGTGTTGTAAATCCCCAGAGCACTCCCCTGCATATAGTTGTTGGTTCATATACGTGTACATTATAGCATTATTCTTTTCATTTTTGACTTGTGTGTATATAATTGTTTTCCCTCTGTCCCATTTGGTTGTGTAAGCCCTCTGCAGACAGGGATAAAGCATCTATATAAGAGGCTGTAAAACACCTCAGTTTTGAAGACAGAAGATCTTGCTTGGAATTTGGACTCTACCACTGACTGGTTGAGATATGTGGGGGAATGGTAATGGCATGTATTGTCAGCTTGTTCTCTTGCCATTGTTTGCAATAATAAGGTCAATCCTTTACTTCAAGCAAGGAATTGATTTTGATATAAATGCAAAGCAATTTCTCCTCCAAAGCTACAAACTACAATTCATTTTAAGGCTGAGATATGAACCATTCAAGAAACATATGTTTGCTGATGAGGTTTTAAAGAAATTACATCAGCGAACTGATGGGAGTCACTTAAGCAAATAGATTCATAAGAGACTAGTGAAGTGATGATACAGTTTTATATGGCAATACTGTCTTCAATAGGCATGCAAAGTTGTTTTTCTTTTGGACTAATGTCTTCCAAGTTAAAGGATAATGGTTCAGGAATTGAAAAGACAAGAAAGCTCCTGTCTTTCTATTCTAGTCTATGAATAAATAGGAGTCTCACTAGCATAACCTTCTGAATTTCACATTTGATTAACCTGATCAATTTATTTCTGTTTTTAAATAAGCCTGTTTCTAACATACTATCCGCTTTTCCTATGGGCAAAGTTATTGTCAATAACCCTCATGGTTCATTATCCTAGTCCTAATAGATTTGTTAAAAATGGAACAACATCAAATAAAGAGAAATCATTTACAAATGAAAATGGGAAGTCTTAGCCTTAGTAGCCAGGCTATTTTTTTTCCACAAAGTAAGCCAGACAATGTGGACTTTTCAGAAGTTTTCCAGGGTGACAAGTGGCCATGTAATGACATGCACAGATGTTGTGAGTATACGAGGCACCTCTGGGTCACCCCAGAAGTCTGGGCCTTTACCCCAGGCTTCCCTAAGGTACAAGCAGCCTTTTCAAAACTTCACTTGTTTCAGAGGATCCTGAGTGCCCCAAGGTTGCCTAAGCATCTGCTCTTACTGTATTGCACCAGAGCTAACTTTATGAAAACTGATATGTTCCCAGAACAACATGACAATAAATACTGTCTGTTAATGTAAATGACTTGTAAAAGGTTGTCCAGGAAATATATGACAGTGTAGTATATTTTTTTAAATCACTTATGCTTTCTGCTGTTTCTGGGAAATATGGTTCAGGTCAGTGCCATATTTCTCTAAGCAATTTTAGGTCCTGTATTTCTGATCTAATCCAGTCTGCAAAAGTTATTTCTGTTCCATAGCCACTAAAATTGAGAATGAAGGCACTATCCAAACACATGAAATTCCTGGTTAACTGGTACCCAGGCAACAGGAGTGATGAAAATGGGCACAAATCAAGTTCAAGAGGCAGAAAATAGAGCAATCTGGGCTGCAGAAGACAGTGAAATGATACGTGTGTTGATCTGTGCATAACTTGCCTTTTGGAAACTTTGTCCATCACCAGAGTCAATCTGTAAACTTATTATTATTGGTGAAATGTAGGAAATAAGAGGCCTTTATTCACAATAGCCAAGACACAGAATCAACCTAAGTGTCTATGGACAGATGAATGGACAAAAAAAAAGTAACACACACACACACACACACACACACACACACACACACACACACACACACACCATGGAATATTATTAATCCTTAAAAAGGAAATCCTGTCATTCTTGACAATATGAATGAACCTGGAGGATATATTATGCTAAGTGAAATAAGCCAGGCACAGAGACACATATATGGTATTATCTCTCTTTTATGTGGAATCTAAAAAAGTAGAACTTATAAAAGCAGAGAGCAGAATGGTGGTTTCCAGGATTGTGACTGGGGGGAAGAAGGAATGGAAATGGGAGATGTTAGTCAAAGCATACAAACTTTCAGTTATAAGATGAATAAGTTCTGGAGTTCCAATAAACAGCACAGTGGCTACAGTTGATAATACTATCCTGCACACTTGCAATTTGCTAAGAGAATAAATCTTAAATGTTCTCACCATGAAAAAAAAGTAGCTACATGAAGTGATGGATAGGCTAGTGAGCTTTATTGTGGTAATAATTTCTCAATGTATATGTAGGTCAAACATTACATTGTACACTGTAAATATATATAATTTTTATTTGTTAATTATATCTCGATAAAACTGGAAAAAATTTGAAAGACACTTGGCTGAATATTAAGAAAAGGAGTTAAGCCTTCCCAATGACAAACCAGGCCATTTACTAGCTAAATTAAATGAAATATTATTTGTTTGAAAGTGTAAGTAGCTTAACTGAGAATATTATTAGGAAAAAACATAATCTTATAAAAAATTACTTTTTTAAAGATTTGTGAATGACTTTATAAACATACTGTTATCATAAAATAACACCTACCAGAAAACATTACAGTATATATAGCTATAGAACAGTGATTCTCTCAGTGTGGTCTACACACCAGCAGCATCAGCAGCATCTGGAAATTGTCAGAAATGCTAATTTTTTAATCCTACTTCATAGTTAATCCAAAACACTAGGGATGGTGCCCAGCAACCTGCATTTTGAGGGGGAGTGTTGCAGAGGAACTTATGTCTCTAAATTCTATTCAGAGTCATATTTATTCCAGGCTATTTCCTATAGAAATTAATTTAACTTGTAGTTCACTGGAAAATTGAGGTAACATTATATTCCAGTCCTTGACCATACCTGTTGATTAAAATGTTGTAGTTATTTTCTCTACTAGAATATTTAGAAATTTTATTGATACTTAGGTTATTGTTGGAGTTAGTGTTTTAATTGTAATTGCAATGGTAACAAAATATTTTAAAAAATAAGGATATAGGGTAGATGCTTTAATGTTTCTATCTAGCTAAGAAACGAGCAGCGTATCTTAGTTTTTATATAACTATCAGGTTTTATATCAAAGAAAGAATAAAAGATAATGTCAAGATTTTGCAACATAAGATTAACTATCCAGAAATATGGAAGTTCTGGTGTGACCTGAGAATGAAATAGGAAGTCATTGTTTTTATAAGTCTCCAGTGAAGCTGAGGTGGAGAACTGTAAGGCAGAATAATATTCTCACTTCTCTTGGGGGTTTTAATTCTTCTGAGCAGCTGAAAACTAGTGTAGAGACCTCCTGACACTTTCACTTTCCCTCCCATCTTTCTCTTCTAATTGCCCTTAGCCAAATGAATGACCACTCTTGGAGAGGGCATAAAAAATACCATCCCCACCAAGAATGATTTTCAAGTCATAGATAACTGCATTCTGAATTTCACAGTGCTGGAGCAGAAAATGGCAGAAGGTGGAAAGTGCAAAATGAAACAGGCTCATTCAGAGTCTGACAGCCAGCAAAGAGCAGAGATGAGGTAATCAGGGATAAGCTAGTCAGATTTGGGAGGGAAGAAAGTAGAGAATGACAAGCAATAACAAGGTAGTCAGAACTGGTGAGGTAAGAAGCCAAGGGAAATAAAAAAATGGGAAGAACTAGGATTTATTAAGCAGGGAGAAAATCATGTCACTTCCTTTAAATCCCACCGCTAGCTCTGTTCTCAAGATTTTAAGTTGAGGTCATTTCCAAGACACTGGCAAGTTAATGAATATATACTTTTATTCATGCACTAAACTTTATGACTCACTATACTACTTTGTGTGAAGTGCTTGGCAACTTTACACCCTTCACTTTTAGAATACTGGTGTTATCTTGAAGTAGCTTATTTTGCCCCAATTACCTCTTTCTCCTCCTACCAAGGCAGGCCATATAAGATGTTAGCTTGCAACTTTTGGCCTGGAGAGAAAGCCTCATGGTTGGCTTTCTGTCAGGGTGTAAGTTGGAAACTGACAGATATCAAAGGAATCAGTCCCACCTTCTTCTGCCCATCTTGAACATCATGGCAAAGAACCATTAGGGCTGAGTCTGCTCAACCCTCAGTCAAAGCAGGCAAATCAAAAGCAACAGATTCAATATCCAATAGTCAACCTTATTCAGTTACCTTAATGACTAAAACAATGGCCATTTATTTATTTTAGTCATCGAGGCCACAAAATCAGATAATCTATTCTGGAATTGAAAGATGGGCTCTGTGATTCCCTACATCAATTTTAAAAAAGTAATAGTAAAAAAGCATATAACATAAAATTAACCACCCTATCCATTTTTAAGTATACAAAGTAATTAAAAATTATAAAAATATATTTTTTAAAAGTTACAGCATGTAGAACTGATTCAGTTTTGTATCATGAAAGTTGAACACAATCTCAGACATGGCAAAGCCCTTACACGTCCAAATCCAGAAAGAGACAAAGATCCAGAGATGTTCAGCAATTTGTCCAAAGGTCACAAGAAAACTTAGTGACAAAGTCAAAACTGAACCCAAGGCTCATTCTTGAGCCATCTTTTTTCCATTTTACCCAAGATGAGTCAGAAGAGCACAAAATGAAGCTATATGGCAATTATCTGATAAATGTGATGGATGTGTACAGACAAACAGGAATAATTATGGCCAGATAATCCAATTTAGGTCCTCAATTACCTAGATTGACTGCATTGACCAAATAAACTGGACAATGACCAAAAATGCACTCTACATTGTGTGGTGCTCCCACAGCCTGAGAAACACTTCATTATGATTTTGTGATTAATAGTAACATCCATACCACTAAGGTGACTACAAACTACAAATTTAACATAGAAATGGATGCATCTTCCATCAATGAAATAGACTTGAAAGTTATCTCAAATCTCTCTTGTTCATTAGTAAGTCAAGTGAAAATGCTATATGAACGAAATGTGTACATGTTATAGAATTTCTCTGAAGATAGCAGTCACATTGCCTCTGTCTGGTCCTTTGTTTCTTCAAGGCTATTATTTGTCCAAATGAATCAACCATAATTAGGCCCATGTTGTCAGATGAAAAGGTTTTCAAGTCCTCACACCAAAACCCTTGGCAAATCTGGGTCATTCTTTATTTCATTCTAAAAATGATGTAGGTCTTAATTATGAACTTAAGATAACATCATACTTAGTCCCCTTCACTGACTGAAAATTAGATAAAATATTTAAATAAAACAAACCTAACATCATACTTAGGATGTTTGATGATGGATAGGAAACTTAGAGAGAAGGGGTTTTCAAGCAATACCTCCAAAAACTTTCCTGAAAGACTTCATATTTTATGTTTTAAAGTAAAAGTTCTGCCACTGTAATTAAGAGAGGTTTTTCTGCTCAAAGTTTCAACATGAAAAATGTATCTCAAAAATAAATATATGCTTTAAAACTCTTTTTCTCTCTAACCTTAAAAATAATACAGGTTTAGAAATTTCTTTGCCAATATCAGCAATATAATTGACTGCACATTATGACTGGAAGCTGCAAAGACAGTCCTGGGGAAAGATGAATCAAAAAGTACAATATGATTTGCTATGGTGGAGACCTTGTTGGTCTGTGAATTATAAAGCTGGGTTTTAATTCTCCATTTGGCATGAACAAGCTTGGTTACATTAGACAATTCATCTTTTCTCCAGACTTTGGTTCTCTTATCTCTTAAACGAGAAGGTTGAATTGGATGAGTTTTTGGTTTTACCTCTCTATGACGTTAAGCCAGGGATCAGCAAATTAAGGCTTGTGGGGCAAATATAGATCACCACCTGTTTTTGTAAATGAACTTTGATTGGAACACAGCCACACTCATTCATTTACATATTGTCTTTGGCCGCCTTCATGCTACAACAGCAGAATTGTTTAATTGTAACAGAGATTACATGTTCCACAAAGCCTAAAATATTTTCTATCTGTCCCTTTACAGAAAAGGATTGCTGACCCCTGCTCTGAGCCACTGATAGTATTGCTAACAAAAGAGAGTGCCATGGTAACACTGCTAACCCAAAGTCCATATTTAATGGATTATACCAATTCTGTAGGGCAAATTTTCATGTTTCTTATGCCCAAGGCCATGCTGAGTTATGTGTCTTGTCTGATTATATGTCATAGTCCTCTAACAGGCATGCTGGCAGTTATGGATATACTGGTCCTTCACTGTGACCTCAACACATAAGTGTTGGTAATTAATAAGAATGTTGACTGGATGTTTTGCTGGCTGTTGGTAGGATTGGTGAAGGTGACTAAAAACTGGTCAGTTCCCAAGATTCAGAGTCATTGAGAAGCCTTCTTGCATCTCCGAAAGGAAAGTGAGTTAAGACACTGACAATAGGTAAGGAAGAGAAAAAGAAAAGTGGTTAAACCTCCACAAAAGTGTGAGAAAAAAAAGAAAGCCTGTCTAAGACTGGAGTAGTGTAACTCACATAACTAATCTTCTTGAGGAGCACAATTTATGTTGAAGCTGAAAATCTATATCCAAATTAGTAGTTATAGAATTGGCTCAGACTGAAATTGTGAATGTGCTTTAAAATTCAAGTGACACAAGGGAAGGAAACTCAAATATGCTCCTTATTACTCAATCTAATGTCTCACAGAATCTCACTATTAAGGGGAAGGCCTCTCATAGTCACAGAAAGAGAGGGCTTCAGTGCAGGCTTATCTGAAAACCACACTTTATTTGCATCCAAAGACTTACCAGGCTAATCATGCACAGAGCCATATCAGAACTCACCTTCTCAACAATCTTTCTGATCTGTACCCTGCCACCAAAGACCCTCAACCCTAGAAAACCTTTTACCTGGAAAACTCAAAAAGCTGACAAAGATATCCCAGAGCCAAATCTCTACTAAACATTGTTACTTATAGTTTTTTTAAGAAATTGTGTAAGAGCTGCATGCAACCTTAAAATATGTCTCATTTTTGATGCTTTCAGAAACTATATTTATTTTTAAATATAGTTTAATAAAATTGAGATGTGAGGTCAATCATTCTCGATTTAGAATTGCTGCTTTGCCACTTCCTTATTGTATGGCATTAGTAAGTTACACTGAAACCCCCTGGACCTCAGTTTGAATCAATTAAATAATGCCAAAATTGTCTCCCTTCAAAGACTATTTAAATCTCTTAGAAGCATATGCAGTTGAATGAAAAAAAATGTTATTCTCTTTTGAATCATCACTAGTCAGCAGATGCAAACATATTAGTTCATTTAATATTTTGAGGTAGAAATTATTAATTCCATATTATAGAAAAGCAAAGAAAAGCCTGGATGTTAAGAGATTCGACAATTGTCATACAGTTATCAAAGGCTGGAATAGGCATTTGAATCCAGGCCTTTCTGACCCCAAAGCCTATGCTCTTTCATCATATCCATATTGCCTCCCACTAATGGCTTCCTCTGTACACTAAGATATACTCTAGTTCCTAAGCTATAATACTAGCTATGGCATAGAGGTATGGAACACCTCAGCCTCATGATTCAGAAATTATTTATCCTTATTAGATTAAAAATATGTTCCAGGGCTGGCCTTTAGTTACTGATCCAGCACTTCTTGTCTGCTACAAGTTTTGGCCAAGGGATGAGGACATTTGATTTAACTCATTACTTGCTTTGGAGACTTGTCCCTGCATCCTATTCCACTCATCTCAGGTCTATAAAATCTACTTCGTTCCTACTATTTGGAATTGCACCTCCTCATGCTCAAAACAAGCCATAGGGAATATGTTAACATCTCTCAGTGCATTGTCAGAGTCTGGCCATAACTAAGAGAATGCCCAAAAGCACAATGATGCCATTTCCATGAATAAGCTGGTTCTGGAGGCTCCTATGTTGGTCAAATTTAATGCTCAGATGGCAGTAGCTACAGAAACTATGTCTATTCTCTCTAAGATTTAAGTTTGGCACGCCATTGAACACCTTGGATGATGTGAGACTCAGCAAGCAATCATCTCACTGCCTTTACCGTCTCTTCCTGGCTATGCTGTTCATGTGCCCAGCATGCCTCTCTTCAGTGTCTGCTTGAGGTCTGCCATGATCAGTCAGGAGCTAGGTGATCTGCAGAAGGTGAAGGCAAAGAGAGCAAGAAATTAAATATGTGACTTTAGTGACCCAAGAACTATGAGTAACAATGCCATGGCCAAAAAGCTTCTCTGCATTTGGTCATGGCAATCACTTACTCCAAAACCAGACTCCTCTGGGACTGTAGGTCCAGGCTGCTGAATGCATCTGACTAAAGCAAGAATTGAGAAACAAAGAAAGAACTGCTGAGTTTGGACCTTTAGCAGAACTTGATTTTACATAAATGCTCTGTTATTTGTCAAAGGGTCTGTTTTCTCTGGTTAAACTGAAAAGGGATATGAAAAATTTTTGCTTAGAAAATGTGGATGTTTCCTCTAAAAAGCATATTTCAAAACTTCATTCCAGGAAGTTCCTTTATAACTTGGTGTAATTTGCTGCAGCTCAACATAAATGCTGCTAAACTCCCACAGGAAGCATGCAAAGAAGATGTTGGAAATCAGAGAAGAATTGTGAAGGAAGAGGATGAAGGGATTCTGTGTTTCAATGTAGTAATTCTCTTATGCTACTTATCAACTTCCACCCTGCCGTTAGAGCCATTTGTGTTCATCTCTCACTTATTGGACTGTTAGCTCTTTATGAGTACAGAGTCATTGTCAGATATATTCTTTTTTTCCCCAGCATCTAGTGCAATGTCTGATATATGGTAGGTTTGAAAGACAACAAACATTATGAATATGGCAGAGATTGTCAGTGCTCATTAGATTTCTGTTTACTCTTCATGGTATGAAGACATGAATAAGGAGTAGCAGGGCCATCCAGGTACTACATTACAAAGTGTGTTCCTAGTGAATTTTTCCTGTGTTAAGACCCCGAAATGTGAGTGTCTATTTGCTACAGGAGATAAAGTAATTCTAATACAATGAGTACATAATTCAATTGATTAACTGATTAAGTGATGGCTGAATAATATTAATATGAGATATTAATGCTTGATTTCTAATTATTTAAGTAAGAGAATAAATACATAATCAGATTTATCATGAAGCTAATGAAGGTTATGTTTCAATGAAGGCACTGGCAGAACTCTCTCTTCTTGGGAAATGCCCTACCAATATGTTCAGATTTGTAAATTTTTCAAAAGTAATTTTTTGTATTATTTTTCTTAGGAGCAGGTCCTCAAATTACAGAAGCCACAGAAAACTGACTCTGTCCCTGGGTCAAGATAATAGAGCATGGTGGTATATAATGCATAAAATATGAAATTTTTATTAGCAATACACAGGAAGTCAATCTTTTCCACTGAAGTTGACTTTTTTATTAATAAAAATGTCATACAATCTAAAGTAGCTTGCTATTTATTGTCACATTTTCTCTCATTACTTTTTCTATGATGCCTTAGCAGAAAGAATTGCCTCATTAATAACTTTGACCAATTGCTTTTGCAAGATGTTGATTATTTCTCCCTTTTGCATTTGCCAAAGTTTACAAATAGATTAAAAAAAACGCCTTTCTTGTAATAGTGTTAGGTTAGTTTTAATAATGAGTCAACTGTGGGTGTTTTAAACATTTCCAGTAAATTTATCTTTAGGCATAGATATATCTTGTATGATAACCAAATTAAATACACACACATATAACACACACACATACAAATGAGTTTATGGAATGCTCAGGAAAGTAAGATAAAAAATAACGTCTAACAACTTATTTGATTAAATTCAGCTCTCTCACTTTTAATATTTTGTTAAGTGATATTCTAACTAGAGGGGAGATATGAGAAAAGGAATATTTGATAGATATTATCTTTCTAGATATTAGTAAAGGAATAACTTATGACTTTGGAAATGAGTTTGAGTTTTAAAGGTAGGAATATATGATGGACAATTTTGCCTGTATCTTCAGTTGCAAACATTTGTGTCTGCTATATTGATAAACTTTCCTTACCAAAACTCTTGAATTTGCTATTATTCAATTTGATTTGTCTCTTCCTTTGTCTTTACCTAGCTTCTTACAGACAATCTACAAAAGAAAAAAAAATTTTACCTTACTTAGACATAGGCTTCAGTTATTTGTTACCATTTCATTGTATACTACTTCATGATATGAGAATAGGAGAAAAACACTACATTTCTCTCTAGGAAGGAAATTATTATTAAAATTTTCAAAAGCAACATTCCCAATATAGTTAATAATTCATAAAAAAAGCAAATCAAGGAACTAAAGATAAGAACAATGCATGCTGTCTAGAAGACATCATTCATGCAACTAGTTAAATGCACATAATAAAAGTTGAAGATATCTCTACAGTTTCTGAGCTGAAAGGGTTCTCATAAAAACCCAAAAGTATTCATAGACACAGAGTTCCCATTTTAATGAAAGAGGTTTTTTCAGGAATCATAGAATAGTGTTGTATCATCCATACATAAGCAACATGGCAGCAGCTGTAGCTTGTTTTTATCCCAAAGCACTCACTTTAACAGCTGAGCATTAAAACATTGATTTTGATATTGAGAAAACCACATTTACTAAGTTCCATGTCCAAAAAATTTCAAATAAGCTATTATAGAATAAATAATTTAAATCTTTCTCTATGCATTTCATAAGGGTAAAGGCTTTTATGCCCACAAAAAAAATGCATGTTTAGTATAACAGCAGAACCATTATCCAAAAGAATAGAAAATATTTCCCCTACATCTAATTTAGACCCCGTTCCTTTAGCATAGGGCTTTGTAAGACTGTTTGATTATTCAATAATCAACTTTCAACCCAAAGTTATTACTTTTCTAACTCTTTGAAAGAAGCTTTGATATATTTTCTTCCTAATTTAATTGGCAGCTATCAGTTAAAAAAACCATTTATTGAGACCTTAAATGTAAATTAATAATTTTCCCTAACCATCTGTTAACAGAAGTCAGTTGATGAATGTTAACTGTAACATCCATAAGTGTTGGTGGCCTTTCATTGCCCATATCTTCCCCATATCCCTGTAGTCCAGAGATATGTCAATTGAAATAGCTGGATAGTGGTCAAGACTTCTTCATAAGCCCTCTTGTCTGTAGCAGACATTTGTTCTGTGTTCTTGAGCTTGATATATGGTTGTAGAATCAAAAACACACATTCATCATAAAGGAAGCTAGTGTTTTATCTAGGAGCTATAAGTTTTCTGGTAAGTACAAAAGGAAAAGAACAGCACCCAAGAGAGAAAGTGAAGGAAGAAAGATGGGGAGCTAGCAGTGGGTGAACTAAATAAAGCATTATAAAGTACTACACAGGAGCAATTCATCCAGCATCGAGGCTACAACCATGTTATCTTTTCATTTTCAAATCCTTCTTATCCCTCCTTAAGGGCCTACTACATGACCTTACAGACAGTAGATACTCAGTCAACATTCTCCAACAATCGGCCATGCCAACCACCTGCACATTTCATGCTTGGGTCATGTGGTGAGAAAAAGGACAGTGGATGAGAGCTACACACAAAGAACACTCTTCCTCTCTTCACACTTCCGATTGTCTTTCTTGGAGCCTCCATTTTTCCTGTGTCCAGACTTTGGTATTCAGTGTGGGCCCATTAGAGTGTCTGGAAAAATTTATTTCTTTTACAGCTCCTGAACAGAACTAGCATTCATTTTCCAAGCTGGAATCACAACAGAAATATGAAAGCTAACTGCACATAGTATAAATAAACATGGTATGGGAACATGAGAGCAGAACACAGCGGCCTGACATAGACGAGAGAGACAATCCAGCATAACAAATAGTAAGTTGTGCTTTGCCCGTGGCATTTTCCGGCTCCATCAATAATTATATAATACAACAGTCACTGATTTCTCAGCCCTGGATCAATAATGGGTTTCACATCCCCTCCAGAGCTGGTTGTTGACCAAGGTGCTTGCTCAGACCCCCACCTCATCTATGGCAAAAATCGATTCTTGCGTAACTGCTTGTGTGCTTGGAATGTCAGCATCAGAGCAATGGAGAAATGTGGAGTTTAATAGCACTGCAGAATTCATAAAGATTTCATATCTGCCCCACAAGCCCATAGAGCTCAACCAGTAGCTTCAAAGGAAAGTTCCCAACCCAAAAGATACAATACAGTGGGACTTTCCAAAGGAAAAACAACAGCAACAACAACAACAGCAACCACAGACATGTAGCACACTCACAGGCTAAGAGCAGACTATGGAAGGAAATCTGTGTTTCATCTGTCCTATGATTAACCTGTCCTATGATTAACATATCCCATATTCTAACAGGTGAGCTGACATTCTTAGTACAATGGTATGGTAGTGTCACAATAATATTTGGGATGGACTTTCTGAGTTACAGCCCAAAAATATCCCATCACAACTAAGGCTACATCAAAGGACAGTCATATCACATCATAAAATATATTTTTAAAAATGTAAAGAGGCTCTATTTCTTTATACAAAGTAGCATATTTTCAAGTCAGATATTCTTTGATAAACAACCTATTTGTGTGTACTCAACACACACACACACAAAAAGGAGATCTAATAATCATTGTTTTAATCTGATCAAGGCAGATTACCAAACGGGATAATATAGATACCAAAGTAGGTTATAAAAATTGAAATATCCTGTTTGGTTGTCTGCCTTGATTTCATTAACCAGACAATGGTCCAAATTCTTCTTCACTAGTAAAGTTGTATACTAGTAGTACATAAATAAGGACAAAATTGTGAAATAGGCTTTTTTTAAGCTTCTATTGCCCTCTCTTTTACAGGGTCATTCTAACTGGTGGCCATAAAAATGTCAGAAGAATGTATCATAGACATTAAGAACCTTAATTGTGCAGTTAAAAAAAAAAGCAGAACCCAGAGAGGCTGAGTGTGTTACCCAAGATTAGCAATAGCCCCAGCATCTCATGGATCCAGGAACCACGTGTTATCCACTGTGCCAGATCTTCTGCTAAGATGACAAGGACAAGTATGTTTTGGGGGTTCTAGAGGCTATGCCCCTAAATTATCCTCACTTAAATGGAGCAAATATCTGTGCCTCTCTGAAATTCCTATGTTAAAATCCTAACCCCCACAGTGATGGTATTAAGAGGTAGGGCCTTTGAGAAATAAGATCATGAGGATGGAGCCCTCATGAATGGGATTAGTGCCCTTATACAAAGGACCCCAGAAAGCTCTTTGACCCTATTTTTGCTATATAAGGACACTGCAAAAAAGAGGCTGGTTATGAACTAGGAGACAGGCTCTCATAAGACATCAAATCATCTGGTACCTTGCTCTTGTACTCCCCAGCCTCCAGAACTGTGAGAACTATGTTTGTTGTTTAAACCATCGGTCTATGGTATTCTGTTACTACCTCTCCTCACATCTTTTTTTGAACATTTCCCTATTGTCGTTAGGAAATACAGCTAAGCAACACTGAGCCTAATTTCACAAAAAGGTGTTTATGGTGGTCAAAGCAGTATCTTCTGATCCTTCCCTTCTCACTTTCCCACCCTCATACCACTTTTCTACCTATAGAACTAACCAAACTTAGCAATTCCATTCTTTGCGTTGCTTGGAACAAAATCTTTAGATTCATACTTAATGCTTCTCTTTCTTGTATTCCCCTCATCCCAGCCATCATTAAGTACTAACAGCTCTACTGTCAACCTCTGACCATTTCTCGTCACTTTCACTGTTATCACATTGGTTCAAGTTACCATCATATTCACCTGAGTTAATTGCAATAGCTTTATAACTATACCTACTAGAAGACGTCACTGCTTTGACTTTTGCCACACTCTTTCTTACACCCAAGTTATTCTCATCCAATAGCCAAAATTATCATTTTAAAGCCTAAATCTGAATATGATACTTTTCTACTTAAAACCTTCCAATTGCTCTCCATCTCACTCAAAAAATTCATACCTGACAATTGTCTATAAGGCCCTATACAATCCTATTGCTCTAACTTCATCATCTATTCACCCACTAGTTCACTAGGAGCCAGCCAAATAGTCTTCTTGCTGTTCTGCAAATACTCTAAACATGCTCTGGCCTCAATGTTTGTATAATCACTGTCCCTTCTTCCTGGATCACTTTTCCCTCAGATACAAACACAGCTGGTACCCATAGCTTCCTCAAGATGTTGCCCAAATGTCATCTTCCCTTGCTTTACCTTTAAAAAATAAAACTGGCCTTCTAACACCTACCTCAGCATTTCTTACTGATTTTTCTCCATTACAGTTAACTTCTAATATGCTATATAACTCGATTTTTCTTTTGTGTATTGTCTGTCCTCCCCATCCAGATGTGAGCTCTGAGTGGTGGGGAGAAAGGATCTGAGGCAGAGAGGTTTTCTTTGTTTACCACTACAACCCCAGTACCTAGTATGGCAGCATGTAGCAAACATTTACTTAAAGTTGATTGGATAAATTAACGAATAATAAGACAAAAGTCAGATTTCAGGTAGGGAGGTGCAGGGGACAACCTGGGGCAAAGGAAGCCTTCTTTGTATCTGTTCATCATCTCTAGATGCATATTCTTTCATGAACAAGGCAGGAGGTTGGTTCAAGCTATTCAAGTTGTGTCAATAAATCAGGTATCTGGTCTCAAATAAATGTTGGAGATAATCTGATGCTAAATAATGTTTTCAGACAGGATAAAATTTAGGGAGTAGGCATGGTGCTGTTTTTTCTGAAATAGCTGGAAAATGGTCCATCACTCTTTCCTGTGCTGCCACCACCCAGAAAGCTTGAATTATAAGCAAGTATTTCCTCTCTGTTAGCACTCCCTGCCCTCGAGACATGAGTTTGCAAAATCATGGAATGAAGGACTGAGGGAATGAGAAGAAAGTCAGAGAGCGGCATTGAGGGAGAAGATATGTGATACTCTGACTTCCTACCCTCTCCTTATGATTCCCTGGAGATCTGTTGATGCCTTTGCTCCCCTCACTTCTTTACTCTTTGCCATCTGCTGTCCCTATGTCTAAGTAAGGTCAGGAGTGGCTGAACTGGATGAAAGGATACTTCACATTGAGAATCAGGATTAGATACAGCAATTCAATGCCTTACCAAAGTGCCCAGAGAACTCTAATGTTTGAAAATAATTCCCAACAGGTACTGAAAATTCAAAGAACTTATGATACAAATGCAGCATCTGAGCCACACTCTTATACAGCTGGGCTGATTATGTAGTCTAGAGAGCAGGAACTGATCACCATGGGCTGGCCAACTGGGCAAAGAACAAATGATGAATGTGATCTTAACACTGTCCAACTGCCTGACCTCAAAGGCTCCCTTTCTGAATGTACCTTTAGTCTGTTTGCACAAAAGAAGACTGCAATAACAACTAAAGTTTTTCTTTTTAGTTTCTTCTTTAGGCATGCACTATGGAACAACATCAGCAAAAAGGCGCACCAGCAGGAAGAAACTAACTAATGTACAGTCAGCAAAAAAGTCCAGATTTTAGTGCACTTTTACTTACATCCTCACAGAAAGAGAATACAAGCTGTATTTGACCCAAGCAACTCCTTGCAAACTTTAATTACAGCACTTGGAAAACCTTACATGTAAAAGTAATTAAAAAGAAATTGTTCCCTGGGAAGAAATAGGCCAATTTGAACTGTGGAACTTTATTTTTTCCAAGAAATTTCACAAGTGAAGTTGGTGTCAGGTAACTTGCCAGGTAATAAATAGTAATAAGAATAAAATTTCAAACATCTTCAGAGTTGATAGGTGAAATTTAAAAATTGGTCATCAGGGAATCTATCTCATTGACAAGGTAAAGGAAAAGACATAGTTAGTTGAATTTTAAAAAGTCAAACAGCAACTGTTGACTCATTGGGAATTATCTAGAGAAAGTAAAGAAACAATCTTAAAGCTAAATAGAAGGGCCATTATTCTATTTTAACAGCCTCTCAGGCCACTGGGCATGACTTATATTCTCAGCCCTTCTGTTTTAAAGACCCACATGCTCAAACACAAAGAGATATATAAATCTACTCTTGAACATATTTAAGTACCAAGAATTTAGCCTCATTCCCATGTTTACCCTAACAGAGTCCATCAAAGATGGGGCAGACCAGCAAAAACAAAAGTAAAATTTTAGAGAATGTGGGAAGGTGTTGCTACTCTGGATGATTTGGGGTAAAAACATGGGTCTGGAGTAAAGTTTCAGACAGGCTCAGAATCCTCCCTCTGCTACTTGGCTTAAATGTGAATAGGTTTTTCATTCTGAATTTTATGGATCCTTGACTCTAGCTTAAGAAGGGA
This sequence comes from Homo sapiens, assembly GCF_000001405.40. Taxonomy (NCBI): domain Eukaryota; kingdom Metazoa; phylum Chordata; class Mammalia; order Primates; family Hominidae; genus Homo; species Homo sapiens. Next base: position 117,940,658 of record NC_000003.12, read on the forward strand.
GGTGTACTGAAACAGATTTGTCTGCCTTTGAGATGCAAAGTTTGGCACTAGAATAGTCTAAAGAATTACATAGTTTTGTTCAAATTTTCCTATCTGGGTTCTAAGGAATGTTCTATTTTCAGGTAGAAATAGATTTGGCAAACAAGTAAAACTAGTCACTGGTCACTGGGTCCACGTTTGGCATCACTTTATATACTTTGATGTTTGAAAGGCTTTATCACAGCACATTGAGGTGTCCCATCCTCATATATCATAGCCTTCATTGCAGTTATAACCATAATTGAATAACTGTGTGACTAAAGCTCTGTTCACTACCTCTTCCAAGATGCTTAGAAAAATGCCTGGCAAATAATATTCATTATAAAAGTAATTCCTGGATAGGTGGATACAAGAATGGAGGATGAAGACAGTTTCTCCTCATTTATGCAATTATTCCCAGTGACAACTGAGTTATCACTTTAGGGCACTCTAATAAAATAAGAGCTCAGTTTTAAAGTAGGAACACTGTCACCTAAGTCTTTAAGTGTGGAGGTAAAAGTCCTTTCCTCTGTCTGTGCTACTTCCTCCATGGTTACCCAGGTCATACATAAACTTATGGCCATAGTTATAATGGTGCATATCTTTTTGTGCTGAGAAAGCTCACAAGAAGTCCCTGCTGTTCACATGCAAGATACTCCATTATTTTCTACAAAAATCATCTGACTGGTATGGTGAAATGAAACAAATGTGTACTATGCTGCTCTTGAAACCAGAGATTTGATGCCAACTTGGTCTCCCACCCCTTGTAATAAGTGAGAAATATTATTTACTATATACTTAGCTTTCATTGCTCCATGTACAAATATGGAGACCTCATTGCAGGGGGATTGGGAAGATCAACTGAGATTATTAAAGAAAGGCTTAGTATTACTGATGGTCAATAATTAAACAAGTATCATCATCAAGAATTAGTAGGTTCATGTACTTCTCCTGGACACAGGAGAGATAGCATAAGCTAGTATGTGGGTTTCACTTCCCACATTTGTAACGGTCTATGCTATGTCTTTTGGAAATCAGATTATTTCTGGAGCTCAAATGTCACTCAAAACAAATGTTCAAGGAAGTAAAAATCAAGTCTAGAGGATCATGATGTTGGAATCCAAGATCAGAGACTATGAAAGATGGACTCAGATTAAGGACTGATTGTACTGTACCTATACATGTGTCCAGATACTTTGCTAGCAAGCTCATCTGCCTTTATAATCCAAGATACCACGTCCCAAGGCTAGGCCTCGTTATCAGGTAAACTATTACTTCACCGTCAATAAGGAAAGGTGTGTCTTAGCAAAATAAAGTTCAGAGTCCCACAAACCACACATGCACAACATTCAATCAAATGATGCAATGTTATTTACAATCCTTCAGAGAGGAGTCTTTCATGCAGGGACCATGGGCTCAAAACTGATGGTGCTGTACAACAAATATGGAGTAGCCAAATATTCCGTCCATCCAAAAAAGCACAGATAGTGAAGCTCTGTCATTTATTAGTGGAGTAATGTTAGGCAAGTCATATAATTAATCTGAGTATAGTGTCTTCATCTGAAAGGACACAGGGAGAAATCATGCCCATTTTGCAGTGTCTCATGAAGAATAAATAGTAGGCAAAATATCTACTCTATGGAAAACATTCAAAAAAATCTTCAGTTACATTTATTCTTATCCTATACTTGTTATGACATGAAAAAAAGTATTTGTCCCTACAAAATTCATATGTTGCAATCCTAACTCCCAAGGTGATGGTATTAGAAAGTAGACACTTTGGGAGGTGATTAAATGATGAAGGTAAAACCCTCACAAGTCAAATTAGGCCCCAGAGAACTGCCTTGCCCCATCCACCATGTGAGGATACAGTGAGAAGTAATCATCTATTAGAAAGAGGGCCCTCACCAGGCCCTGAATCTGCTTCCACCTTAGTCTTGGACTTCCCAGTCTCCAAGACTGTGAGAAATAAATTTCTGTTGTTTATAAGATACCCAGTCTAAGGTATTTTGTTAGAACAGCCCACATGTACCATGACAGAAATTGGTACTGAGAATTGGTCGAGCTGCTATAACAAATACCTAAAAGTGTGGAGATGACTTTGGAAGTGGGTAATGAGTAGAAGTGAAAGAGTTTTGAAGTGCATGCTAGAAAAACATATGTTACAGTGAAAGGCCTGAAAAGGGCAATTCTGATGCAGGCTTAGAAGAAGAAGAAGAAGAGATCTAAGGAGAAAGCTTCAATCTTCTAAGGGATTACCTAAGTGGTCATGAACAGATTGGTAAAAGTATGGATAGTAAAGGTCATTGTGATAAGATCTCAGATGGAAGTGAAGAACATGTTATTGGAAATTAGAAGAAAAGTGATGTTTGTTACAAGTGGCAAAGAACTTCACTGAATTCTGTCTGTGTTTTTGTGTTTTGTGGATGGTAAAACTTGAGAACAATGAAACAAAATACTTGGTGCAGGAAATTTCTAAGCAAGGTGTTAAGGGTGCAGCATGATTTTTCTTAATCCTTACAGTAACATGCCAGAAGAGAAGATGATATAAAGATGGAACCTATGAATCAAAAGGGAAGCTTCCTGTTTGATTAAAGATTTGAAAAATTATCAGCCTGGCCATATTATAAGAAATGAGAAAGCTTGTCAGGTAGAGAACCAAGCCACTATTTAGTATGGATCTATGGAATAGCATTTAGTATTCATCAATACAATGGAAGAACAACCCAAAGACATTTCAGAGATCCTCAGGGCTGTCCCTCTCAACACAGGCACATTATAAAAGGGCCTTAGGGAAAAAAGGTATTTGGAGTCCTTGCTTTCCTGAATCCTAACTGTTCACTGTAGCTTATCTTAACTGCCCTTCTAGAGGGCAAGTAGGTAAAGTTCAGTAGCATTCATGCAGTATCATCTGCACCAGGGCACTGAGTGCAGGTGTGTAGGAATGTTCACCTTCGCCTAGATTGCAAAGGATGGAGCCACTCAAAGACTCTGGTTCTCCATTAAGGCAGGGAATGAGTGAGAGGGTAGGGTCACTACAGACAGTTCACACTAGGACAATGCCTAATCGAGCCATGGGGAAGAGGCTTCTCCCACCACCTCAGACCAGCAGAGCTACCAGCATGCCATTCCTGCCTGAGAGAGTGCAGGCACAGGCCCACAATCCTTAAGAGCTGCAGTGTGGGCTGTACCCAGCAAAGCTATAGAGGTGGAGTCACCCAAAGCCATGGGTGCAATGCTGCCTGAAGCCTTAGATGCTCCACCCCTGCAAGGCAAAGCTGCAAAGGCAGGACTTCTGCCCCAGTGGGGTTGGAGGATAAAAGGTCAAAGGTCATTCTGAAGCTTTAACATTTAATGTTGTTTTCTCTGTTGGGTTTTGGACTTACATGGGACCGACCAGTCGCTTCCTTCTTCTTTCCTGTTTCTTCCTTTTGAAATTGGAATGTCTTTCCTATCTCATCATTGTATTTTGGAAGAACATAAAGCATATGATTTCAGAGCTTCACAGCTGAAGAGCAATTTGCCTCAGAATAAATCATATCTTGAGTTTCATCTATATCTGATTTAGATGATATTTAGTTAAAACTCTGGACTTCATACTTTTGAGTTGATGTTGGAACAAGTTAAGAGTTTTGGAGTAACTGGGATCGAGTGAATATATTTTGCAAGTGAGAAGGACATGAAATTATGGGGAAGAATGTGCTGGTCTGAATGTTGTGTCCCCGCTTCCCCCTCCAAATACCCTCAAAATTCATATGGTGGAATCTTAACACAGGAAGTGATGGGATTAGGAGGTAGAGTCTTTGGGAGCTGATTAGATCATGAGAATGGATCTTTTGTGAATGGGATTAGTGCCCTTAGAAAATAGGCCCTGGAAAGATGTGTTGCTCCTTCCACCATATAAAAGACACAGATAAAAGTTACCATCTATGAGAACCAGCCCCACAACAGACCCCAAATCTGCCAGTTCCTTGATCTTGGAATTCCTAGCCTCCGGAACTATGAAAAGTAATTTCTATTGTTTATAAGCTACCTAGTTTATGGGTTTTCTTGCTACCATAACCTGAGTGACTAAGATAACTCTGTGAATGCCTGACCTAAAGCACATCTTAGAGCATGTAGTTGATCAATATATCAGTACGTATTTTTAAAAATTATCTTCATTTGTGGGAAACTATTTTTATAGGTGAAGGTTTGACTTTGCACCACAAAAATGGTATCCACAACAATGACAACATGACTGAGGAAACACGTGCTGTTGTTCATGAAATAGATGCCTCCCTGAGTGGCTATATTTGGTGCCAAGAGGGCACCAGAATCACCCATCAATATCAGTGTGCTCTCTTTAGAGGTGGGCTTAGCAGTCTCTTTTCTGACGGATTTTTTTTTTTGGTGGTAGGACCCAAGAAATTATATATGTTTAACATCTAAGCAAGATAATGTTACTATAACAGTTTAACACTACTACAAAAGAGCAAAATCAAACATAAAATAATTTGTAATAACACTGTATTTAGTTGTCACAATAAGGATCGACCTATAGTTGATATGTTTCTTAAATTATACTTGTTTATACAAATACTAGCCTAACATTAGACAAATTCAATTAACTTTTACAGTGTCTTTTAGAAGACAGTCAAAGAAAGAGTTTATAAATCAAAATAAGAAACAAAAGATAATGGTGAAAAATCTTGATAACCACCTTGATGGAAATAAACCTTATCATAGAGAACCAAAAATCAATTTATACTTGGTTTTCTAAGGACTGTACTTATGCTTACAAATAAATTTATACACTTATATTTACAATTTATTATGTTAACTATTATAAATTAATTTAAAATATGCAATATTTAATCAATATAATCAATATAAATTATATCATTAATATAAAGTATGCAATATTTAATCATATTTAATATACTAAAGATAACATCCATCATATTGGAAATATATGTTCTAAATTTGTGATATTACAATATATTTTAACATTATGTTGTAAAATATTGAACTAATTACATTTACTCTCTTGAGAACTCACAACCCTTCACTCATACTATAAATGTCTAGTTGTTTCCTTTTTCCCCCACCGTTTATCACTTCTATTTCCTTGTTCTATAAATGTCTGAAGAATGTATTTCCTAGACATTTATACAGAGTCATCTTACAGCCACACTTGTTTTTAAACACACTGCTTCACACTTTCTATGGGCCAGGTTAATGATTATTTTTGGTTTTAGATGCCATCTGTTAGAGCTTCTGCTGGACCAAAGATCCTGTTTATGTCAACAAATTACTTAATTAAGCAAAGTAGGTGACAACAAGCATGAGTTTTTGAAAATGATGCGGATGTTCATAAACACTATATAATTCAATATTATTCTTTATTTGAATGAGGATAGAAGTGCCTGAGGTGCAGATAAGAGGATACCAGCAAGGTCCCCCCACAAAAGTGGGAAAGAAAATGGTCTAGTATCCAGGTTGAAGGACTAACTGTAGGTCAAAGGATGGACACTCTTTTCCTCTGCCATTAGAAGAAAAGAGATTCTTCTGTAGATGAACCAAAGTCTTGCATGAGCAAGCACTCACTGAGTCTTTCCTGTGCACCAAGTACAGCATTGCCTATTATGTGACAGGCCACTGAGATAAAAGGTGCCTCAGTGTTCCTGTGCAGCTACCTCATGGATTCTCTAAATCCACATTCACTGGACACTGGACTTGACTTAAGGCCACTCTGCCTTACTCCCAGGACACTGTTTCTCATGTAATACAAGACTCCATGATATCCTTGCATATTCAATAAGGACAACATTCCAAGTTAGAGCACTTTTCACATGCCTCTTTAAAAATCTTATTTTTGTAACAGGATGTCCACAAAATATAATTTCATCTTAATTGAGAAAATTTTCTAATTCTGACAGCTTTTCAAATAATATTTCTTGTAAATTCACAGGTCCTTTGGAATTTCTATAATTCCTATTCTATAATGTTACTATAGAAAACTCTTGGATTTACTACAATTCTAATAATAATAAAATAATAGACTTTAACAACATTATTATCAATTGTTAAGCCTGACTATTCACAAAAATCATGCATTCTGTTTAATAGAGGACTCCTCTTGGTTCAAAACTAACTTCTTGGTTTGCTGTATTCCTAGTTATTTCATTTTCTTTTTTGCTATTGTAAGTAGGATTGTGTTCTTGAGTTCACTCTCAGCCTAGCTATTGTTGGTGTATAGAAATGCTACTGATTTTTGTACATTGATTTTGTGTCCTGAAACATTACTAAAGCAGTCTATCAATTCTAGGAGACTTCTGGTAGTCTTTAGGATTTTCTAGGCATGGAATCATATAGTCAGAAAAGAGAAATAGTTTGACTTCTTCTTTTCCTATGTAGATGTTTTTTTATTTCTTTCTCCTGACCGACTGCTCTGCCTGGGACTTCTGGTATTGTGTTGAATAGGAGTGGTAAGAGTGGGCATCTGTATTAGTCCATTCTCATGCTGCTATGAAGAAATACCTGAAACTGGGTAATTTATAAAGGAAATAGGTTTAGTTAACTCACAGTTTTGCATGGCTAGGGGGAGCCTCAGGAAACTTACAATCATGGTGGAAGGCATTTCTTCACAGGGTGGCAGGAGAGAGAGTAAATGCAAGCAGGGGAAATACCAGATGCTTATAAAACCATCAGATTTCTTAAGAACTCTCTCACTATCACAAGAACAACATGGGGGAAACTGCTCCCATGATTTAATTACCTCTACCTGGTCCTGCCCTTGACATGTGGGGATTATTACAATTCAAGGTGAGATCTGGGTGGGGACACAGAGCCAAACCATATCAGCATCCTAATCTGGCTCCAGTTCTCAATAGGAATAGTTTGAGGTTCTGCCTATTTAGTATGATGTTGGCTGTGGGTCTGTCATAAATGGCTATTATTTTGAGGTATGTTCCTTTGATGGTTTTAACAGGAAGGGACGTTGGATTTTATCAAAAGCTTTTCTCCATCTATTGAGGTGATCATGTGGTTTTCACTTTTGATTCTGTTTATGTGATGATTCACATTTATTGATGTGTATATGTTAAAATAGCTTTGCATCCCAGTAGTAGAATCTAGTTGATTGCGATTGATTAACACTTTGATGTGCTGCTGGACTCCATTTGCTAGGAATTTTACATCTATGTTCATGAAGGATATTGGACTGAAGTTTTATTTCTTCGTTTTGTCTCTACCAGATTTGGTATCAGACTAATGCTGGCTTTATAAAATGAGTTGGGAAAGAGCTCTTCCTCCTCAAATTTTTGGAATAGTTTCTGTGGG